>NC_000002.12:28590123-28742873 GCF_000001405.40 Homo sapiens
TTGGCTCATTTCATCCTAGGCCCTCACCCTCACCCCAGCTCTGCCTGCCCACCCACCCCATTTTATACTCCAGGGTTAACTGCCCCAAATGCCCCATCTGGTTGTACTGAGAGGGACGGCCACCCCCAGTGACCCAGAGGCCTGGGAGTGCTTGGTCCCTGCGTGGCTGGGAGCCCTCACACATGTCTGGGGTGGAGACAACTCTTTGGGGCAGGCAAGATGAGCATGGCAGCCACATCTACCTGTCATTCTGAAAGCTGAGGGCAGCAGAGAACTTCAAGGGCAGATGGGGCGGAAGGATCCCTTGTCTTCATATAGCCCCTGCCTCCATGACAATATGGGTAGAGCGAGGAATCGAGACCTAGAAGTATCTCTAGTTGGGTGGTGGGGAGTAAATTGGAAGCTGGAGCTAGGGAAAGAAAAGCAGAAGAAGCCCCCATTTTTACTCACAAGTTCTCAGAAAGATTCTTGGAGCTCTGCAGCAGCTGTCCTCGTCCCCAAGAATCCCTCTGTATACCCAGAGGGCTCCCAGGCTGACACTGGAAACCATTGTATGGGGTTTACGTGAGGCAGGACCAAAATCATCTGACTTTTCTTGCCTGGGCAGGAAGGGGCCCTGGTCACTGCAGGGTGGGGTAGGCATGGAGTGGTAAAGGAGCCTGGGGAGCGGAGACAAGGGCTTTTTCCAGCAGAAAGAGGTGCATGGTTGGAAGAGGGGAGGGTGGAGAAAGAGAGGCAGCACAGCCATCTTCAGCCAGCCACGCGGGAGGTGGAAGGAAGACAGGCGCGTTCCCGTGAAGCATGAATTGATGCTCATTCTTTGTGCTGGGTTCAGGTTGCAGAGACGGCCCCCTGCATCTTGGGAGGGAGTCAGCCTGGTAGAGGCTGGGCTTGGGACACAGGGCAGGCAGGCCGCAGCTGTTTGTGCCAGGCCGACACTTAACTGAGTGCTGACAAGCAGAGAAGTGAGCAGAATTTGCTGCCATTGCTCACCCCCCTCTCCTCACAGGTCCAGCCGTTTCTGAGGACCTACAAGAACAGCATGCAGGTACCTGCCTCTTGCCTCCTCTTGACTCACCAGGCAATGCAATGGGCAACCCCTGGGCTGGGACAGGCCCAACAGGACAGGGTGGGAAAGCGGGCAAGAGTTCTAGATGGGCATAAAGGCCACCCACCTGACCTTCAGATGGGGTAGTGGGCAGAGTAAATGCCGTGGATAACAGCTGGAAGGCATCCAGCCAACCCAATCACAGCTTCACTGCGACATAAGTGAAGAGAAATCCCCTTCCTTGTAGAGCTGGTGCAGAAGCAGGGGCAGGTGTGGAGTGGGGTCATTTGTTGCTGCCCTGATTCTTGCATTGGACGGTGGAGGGGTCTGAACTCGATGAGTGGACCTCGATCTGTGGCCGCTACGCAAAATCACCTAGGGAGCCTTCTTCAAAGGCCCTTTTGAGGCCCCTCCCTAGGAGTAGGACCCAGGAATCTGTATTTTTCAAAGTTCTTGGGGTACATCTGATAGCCAGTTTTTCTGGTCCCTTTCAACCCTGAGATTCTGGGATTTGTTCTATGCCCTTAGGGTCATGGGACCTGGCTGCCATGCAGGGACAGAGCCCCTTCTGCCTTGCACCCTACCTCAGGTAAGCCCCCTATGGCACAGCAGGACCCAGGGCCCCTCCACAGGGGCTGCTATGCTGGTGAGTCCTCTGACCTGACTTTCACACTCACTAAATGGCACAGTGACGGCCAGTGCTTGCTGTCTGCCTGGGTGGTCACCTGGGATGAGTCCCTGTTTCGCACCACTCTGGCTGGTGGTGACACCATGCCCAGCAGGCACCAAGGCACCTAGGACCAGGAGCCGTCTCCTGCCCACCTGCGCCTCTTAGAGCACAAGCAGAGGAGCCCTGTGAGCACACCCTTGGTGGCTCAGCCCAGAGGTGGGCCCCAGTCCCAAGAGGAAGCTGGCTCTGTGGCCCTAGGCTCTGCAATCACTGCCGCCTACAGTAGGGCCTGGAAGTTTCCCTGGGCTGTTCAGAAGAGATGTGGGGGCAAGGAAAGGCCCAACATGGCTATTCTCAGACTCTTGGTGGAAATTCAGAACCCACCTTTAAACGGGCTGCACGTCAGGTCCTGCACCTCGTCTTAATGTGGTTTGATGCCCGTCTAGTTGTGCACTCAGGCCATGGCTGTCATCTCCCATGACCACTGGCACTAAAATGAGCTCCTACTCTGCCCTGCCCTCCCTCCCACCTTTCCCTTCTTCCTTCCCTCCATCTCTCCTTCTCCCTTTCCCCACTTTTCTTCTTCTCCCTCCTTCTCCCTCTCTGCACCTCTCTTTCCCTGTAGGTCCAGGATTAGTTGTGTCTTACGGGAAAACTGTCCTCATATAACTTTGCCTCCATGGCACTGTGCACACCCAGCCCTGCATGGCCCCAGTGCTCATGCAGATTGTGTTTTGGATCTTGCTTGAAGCCAGAGGCACTAGAGTGTGACTGTGGCTTCCCTCCTGCAGCCCTAAGTGTGTCCACTTGTCTTTCCAGTGCATGCCCTGAGACCTGCAGACATCCAAGTTGTGGCTGCTCTGGGGGATTCTCTGACCGTAAGGACTCTTGGGCCCCAGGTGGTTTGGGGATAACTAGGCCAGCTCCAGATCCCAGTCCTCTTAACTTAAGGGTCTGCATGCCTGTCCTCTGCCTTATCTTGCCCCTCTACCTGGCTCTGTCAATCCAAGAGCATGCCAGTTATTTGATTTGCGGCCACTTTCTCAAACGGATATGCAGAGGAAATCTTTTTTGGGAGTGAACTGAATTGTTTCTGCGGGCAGAGATTTTGAACACCCAATAACACTTTTTTAATATATGTAAAAATATGTCATTCTGACTCAAAATTCTCCTAAACCTCCCTGTGCGGGCGCTCTTTTTCCTTTGGATTATGCTTTATAATCAGCTGAGACCCTCACATCTGTTTCTTCTTTGCATCTGCATGGAAAGCAGCAGGACTCCTTAGTTGTGGATGAAGCTCTGCTCCTAACTTCCAAGAAATGGGGCTATTTTACTATCCCAGATCATCACTTTCCAGGAGCATGTGCAAGGCCTTGAGAATACCTTACAGAATGCCCCAGAGGGAAAGAGGAGAAATGTGAGACTTAGGAGAGATCTGTCCACTGCAGTCGCTTAAGCCAATGAGCTCTCTCTTCATGCTCATAAAGAACGTAGGGGCATAACGCTGGGAACGACATTATTAACACTCTCTCACGTTTGTAAAACACTTGAGAGTTTTCAAAGTGGTTTTTACAACTGTAATCCAATTTGATCCCCAAAACACTCCCTGTGAGATGAGCAGGGCGTGTCCTCAGCTCAGCGAGGAGGCAGCTAAGAGTTGGGGAAGGCACACAGCTGGAGAGGAGGATGGCAGACTTAGAGCCAGGGGCTCCTGGTTCCATGTCTGCTCCTGCCACCACGAGTGCATTGGGAACCCCCTCTTTGGAAGCCCTGTGCATTCACAGCCTCCCTGTTCTCTGACTTGCTAATTTTCCTATGGACTCTGGTATATTTTCAAAGGCTGGCAATGGAATTGGCTCCAAACCAGACGACCTCCCCGATGTCACCACACAGTATCGGGGACTGTCATACAGGTAATGTTAACCTTTGACCTCTCCCAGCGTTCCCCCCACAACAGAGATTAGGTGTGGCTTTGTCTCCTGTAAATATGTAAATCCCAGAGGTCGAAGACTTGGTCTGGAAGGGGCTTTCAGAAAGAAAAAGCTATATATTTCTGCAAAATGTGAACATTTGGTGAGTGGAGAGGATATTTTACTGTTGATAATCTTTTTTTTTTTTTTGATTGTGCAGAGAAAGTAAACCAGGGTTCTTATCAGACTCCTGGGTCAGCAAATCCAACAGGAAATGCACCAGAAAAGCACCAAATCCCTGAATCTTCACCTCCCCGCTTGCATGTATACGTGTACACGTGGTGTTCCTACGTCTCTGTTTACTGTCTTTATGTGTTTATTCATGTTGTCTTGTAGTCACACAGCTGCCTTTACATATATGTACACATCTGCACAGAAAACCTCTGAAACCCATCGCACACTTCGAGAGGCCATAACCAAGACACAATCACAATCAGCCATGTCTTGAAAGATTAGCAATTCGACAAGAGGAAAGGGTGAGAAAGGGCATCCCGAACACGGAAGTGGAGAAGCTCAGGGTGTGTCAGGCGAGCGGTTGCGTGTAGATATTCTCAAGTTTCTTTCTCTCCTAATAAAGTTCTCATTCCTGTAGGCTTCAAAGTAAGTGGCGAGTAGCTCAGAATTTACCTGGGAAAACAACTAGAACGAAGCTGGCCACAAGGGGGCAGCGTGCTAATGAGTGGCGGAGCCAGGACAGCACCTTTGCTGCCGCCTCCCTTTTCTTCTGAGTCAGTTTGCTTCCTGGGGAAGTGACAGGGAGCAGGGAGGGGGTGATCAAGACTGTGAAGGTTCTCTGGCCAGACCTGAGCAGAGTCCCAGAGAGGATGGGTTTCCAGGGCGAGAGGGAGGCGCCATCACTCGGCCTGTACCACCCACAACGAGGACCTAGGTTGTCCTTAGCATGAGGACATCAACCTCTCAAGAACAGAGGTCAGTGCCTTCCTGCGCCAAGGTCCCTGCGTTTCCACAAGTCCTTGGTCAGGTACCTGGTCCTAACAGGCTGCCATGGAACAAATCAGAGCCTCACTGACTCACCATTCTGCTCCTAATGAGGCTACAAGAAAAAAAACCAGAGGAGAGAAAGCAGAGCTTATTACAATCAGGAAAGAGCATGAGGTTCTGGCAGCTGCACTTGGTCTCAGCTAAAGAAGGCAATGACCTCATACGATAGCATGGGAAACAAAAATCAAGCAGACGAACCACATTGCAGGTGATAGATACGCGACGTGCACCTGGTGGGGCAGCCTGGGGAAGTGAGGTGATGTGCCCTACTTTAAAACAGATCGACCAGCTGGGCTCCTGGGATTCAGATATGAACCAGCAGTCCTCTACTAAAAGTTTCTTTCTGCAGCGATGGGAAAATTCAGCCATTGCTCTGTTTCTTCCAACAAGTGAAGTCCATTACAGCCTAATGTCTCAATCTTTTAGTTCTAGCTCTAAGGCCTCAGGTTCAATGGCTGCTGTCCCTTTAAACCCTTCATTTGTCCTAAATGTTTCAAATAGCTGCCCCCAAATGCACGTGTGTTAAAGATGGAAGCTCTAGGTCGGGGTCTGAGAGACAGCTTGACACTTGGTAGAATACATAGACTACTGTGTCTCAAAGTGTGTTCCATGGAACATTAACTCCAGACCTGTTCCTGGAGAAGAGAAAATCCTTTGTATCTGAGGGGGAAACATTACCATAACCTTCCTTTGGGGAATTCATGTGTGTATTAGCATATTAAAGGCTCTCATAAGGCCTGCAATGCAGAAATCTATTTAAGTTTTATCTGTTTAACCCAATGTTTCCCTTAATTCCAGAACATTTTCTTTGTTCATAACACCTGTTAACACCTCCTGAAAGTGTTCACGTAGTAGACTTATCTGAGAAAAGCAATTTTTGAGCCGTTAAAGCTTCTAGATTGGACAAACTAGGCAATTAATGATACTAGATCAATTCAGAATGCAATTTGAGCCTCTTCCCCCTGGGAAACAAAGTGAAAAGAGTGGATCTCATGGAATTAGGGGAGAAGTAGACCCAGAATTCATGGGGGGTGGGTGGCTGTGAACAGGACCTGCAGAAGAGGCTCGGCTGTGAATATTTCCAAGGCCCCTTGACCTGTGAGATTCTGTAGTGAACGGTTCCAGCTTTGGCCAGCTTAACAATGTGCTGGGCCCCAAGGTCTTGAGAGCATTGCCTTTTCTTCCATTGAAATAAGTTCGCTTGTTTGGGACCATTCAAAGGATCAAAATAAAATTTACTTACCAAAAAAGTTGCCTTTGTTTTATTAACTAGGGGGTCAATCTCATATGACTGAAACTCCTTCAACAAATGTTACTGAGCATCTACTCTATTTTTCTGTACACTTTAGGTGACAACAGATGACCAGAGCCCAGCCATTGAGCTCTGTAACATAAATTGAGTGTAACATAAATGATATCCATCTGAAGGGTCTAAGGTGGACTAGCTGTTTGATATGGGTCTACTTCCTTTCACGTTTCATGGTTCTGATCAAAATGAGAGTTTGAATATTTTTGCGCTTTTGTGTTTATTTGTCATAATCCTTTTCTTCTGGAAGTTTTCACTTTAAAATGGAAGTCAGGGAGAGATTTTCATAGCCTGTTGGTCTTGATTAGCCACCATACTTGTTTTAAAATGAAGATACCTTTAAACAAGAAATTACAGTAGGAAGTACTTGATGCGTTTGTGTTTGTGTGTCTATGTTTATATCTTTATTGAAGGAGAAAAGGAGGCAGAATTAGAACACAAGTGATTGGCAGAGGTATATAAATTTATACTTCTTTTCAAATGTAAAATATTCTGATTGGGTGCCTTTAGTCCAGAAAAAGAAGGATTAGAAAGCAACAGCTTCATGCAGAGCTGGAAAAGAATCAGACGCTTAAACAAACGCCCATCCACGAGCAAGTTAGGCTCAGACATCTAACGGAAGGGTGGGGAGCGAGAACTGAGTGAAGGAGAAGGGTAAGATTTACGGCATCTGCCTTCTCTCTACCACCTGAATTGCTTGCAGAGCCTCTGACTTAAGTCCTTGACCACTCTGGCATGCAATAGTCCACTTCATTCCAAGCATTCCTTGAATGAAGAACAACTATGACTCATGGCCTGTCCCTTAGAAGTCTTTGCTGGTGGGCTGGAAGCTAAGGCCACGTTCTTAAAATCCATTGGCCTGGGCCAGGCGCGGTGGCTCACGCCTGTAATCCCAGCACTTTGGGAGGCTGAGGCGGGCGAATCATGAGGTCAGGAGATCGAGACCATCCTGGCTAACACGGTGGAACCCCATCTCTACTAAAAAACAGAAAAAATTAGCTGGGCATGGTGGCGGGTACCTGTAGTCCCAGCTACTCGGGAGGCTGAGGCAGGAGAATGGCATGAACCCGGGAGGCGGAGCTTGCATTGAGTGGAGATCACACCACTGCACTCCAGCCTGGGCGACAGAGCAAGACTCCGTCTCGAAAAAAAAAAAAAAAAAAATCCATTGACCTGGAATATAACATGCTGGGATTCGAAAAAGAGACACAGAAGAAAAAGAACAGTAAATACCATATATATGAATATCAGATTTTGGTAAAATAGAAATAGTACTTGTCTTCTGTGTGTCCTACTCAATTTATTAATAAATGCATAAAAGGAAACAAAATAGGGTGTACCTTGAAGTTAGATTAAATGAAAATTAGATGGGGCATTGAAAGGTAGTGAGCAGCCACCCTTCTGAACCTTCTATTGGAATTTACCTGACTGCTGAGCAGAGAAGAGCTTATCTATTTTCCAAAGGCTTCCAGCTCAAATTGGGTTTCAATGACTTTTAACAAGTTAATTAACCTCTGTGCACCTCATTTTCTTACTCTGTAAAATGGACATAGTCACATCTACATCACTGGCTTGTTGGGAGATGTGAAATCACAGAATCTAGTGCATGTCTGGGCACATAGTATATACTCAGCTAAGCATTCTCCCTCCTGATCTGGTAAAGAAACAGCTCTCTCATCTTCAAATCCTGGATTCGGTAGGGAACCAATATGTTAGGGGCTTAAAAATTTTCTCAGAATTCCTCAAACTCAGAGATGGGTCTGGCCCATCTCAAAGGTGCCGATGGGCACTAAGAAGGGTGGGGGCTGCTCTTGTGTAAAGTTCCTAGATTGATTCAACCAATATGTCTCTCCCTCTCATTCACTGGCTTGCTCACTCCCTACAGTGCAGGAGGGGACGGCTCCCTGGAGAATGTGACCACCTTACCTAGTAAGTAACCATCAGGGGCTTGAATCTGTCTACTGTTCCACCCATCTGGCCCCTTGGCTTCCCGAAAGTGCCTCCCAGGTAAGCAGCAAATGACATCTGCCTTATGGCCCAGCATTTAAGTAGGAGACAGGAGGCTATGAAAAAGCAGCCGAGGCAGGTAAAATAAACACCAGATTTAGAGCCTGAAGATCTGAGTTCAATCCCTGGTGCTTCAATCCCTGGTGCTGGGTTCAATCTCCGATGTGCTTGTCAGGTGACCTAGGGCAAGTTACCCGCTATTTTTAGCCTCAGGCTTTTCCAACAGGCCCAGGAGGTGCTGAGACAAATTAGGTAGTGACCCTTCAATGCACTGTGAATTGTATTAATACAATTTAATACAAGAGTGAGAGGCTCTTGCCACCCTGGCCCACCTAGTCATCAGGTCATGTCAACTTAGGGTGGTCCCAGCTTATGTCCAGGACACACACTGCCTCCCTGCCTCTCCCCAGGAAGCATGAGGATGATAACACAGCCCACTTTGGGGACCTAGGTCCCACAGTACCAGAGAAGCTATTCTGGCTTTCTGTTCTGAGCCGTCTGCATCCCATTCACCTTCTCTTCCAGATATCCTTCGGGAGTTTAACAGAAACCTCACAGGCTACGCCGTGGGCACGGGTGATGCCAATGACACGAATGCATTCCTCAATCAAGCTGTTCCCGGAGCAAAGGCTGAGTATGGCATTTGGGGAGGGAGGGAGCCTGCAGAGCAGGGAGTGGAATGTGGATAGTACCCTTTAAGACCATGGGGCTGGCCTCTATGTGCAAAGGGGCACTTAGCCACTTGTGAGGCTCAGGCTGCCCTCTTCCCTGCTGCCCCTGTGACGAAGGTTGTAATAGGCCAGAGAGGCTGTGGCCTTGGAGAGATGCGATGCCCCTATAGGTTCAACTCCTGACCTTGCCTTCATGTGCAGCATGTTCTCATAATTGGACGAATCGACTAACCTTATCCAATGTTTACAACTCACCAAGGCACAACAGTGCTAGAGAGATCCACTCCCCGCAGAACCTCACAAGTGGCAATTTCCCAAAAAGATCAGAGAGGGCCAACCAAATGGATGGGGCAAGCCTTCTGGCCCTAGAGGCATCTGGAGCAAAGAGTCATGTCCCCTCCCTAGCCCCATTATGGAGCTAACAAGAAATGGAATGGAGAAGCCCAGAGGTACCCAAAGAAGAGCAACTGCCCAGCCTCCTGGGGTGGGCTCCAAAGGGGCCCCCACCCTGCTCCTAGAGGCCCCAGCAGCCTAGGTCTTCTTGCTCTATGCAGCTCCTGGCTCAGCCATCTGAGCCTCTGTCACATGTCATCTTCTTGCTCAGGCCCACACCTTCTGGTTGAGGGGTGTGGCCCCCAGACCCACTCCCTCAGCCTGGAAAGACTCTTGGTAATAGAAACAGCTGGGGACAGATGGTCCCACCACCGTGTCCTAGGAGATCACCTTGCTATGGATCCATCCCACCCAGGTCTATAACGGGGCCCTGAACAAGTGGAAGTGGGGAGCACAGACGCCTGAAATCTATTCCTTCCATAAATTATAATTTTGGCCTTTTTTTAGATAGAGTCTCATTCTATCACTCAGGCTGGAATGCAGTGGCACAATCTCTGCTCACGGTAACCTCCGCCTCCCAGGTTCAAGTGATTCTTGTGCCTCAGCCTCCGAGTAGCTGGGATTACAGGCTTCTACCATCACGCCCAGCTAATTTTTGTATTTTTAGTAGAGATAGGATTTCACCTGTTGGCCAGGCTGGTCTCAAACTCCTGACCTCAAGTGATCCACCCACCTTGCCTCCCAAAGTACTTGGATTACAGGCATGAGCCACTGCACCTGGCCTTTTTTTGTTTTTAAGATGGGGTTTCACTCTGTCACCTAGGCTGAGTGCTATGGCATGATCTCAGTTCACTGCAACCTTCACCTCCCAGGTTTAAGCAATCATCCCACCTCAGCCTCCCTAGTAGTTGGGACTACAGGCATGTACCACTATACCTGGCTAATTTTTCTGTAATTTTTGTAGAGATGGGGTTTTACCATGTTGCCCAGGTTGGTCTCAACCTCCTGGACTCAAGCAATCCACCCACCTCAGCCTCCCAAAGTGCTGGGATTACAGGCGTGAGCCACCAGGCCTGCCACCTTCCATAAATTATAAACCCAAGCATGTGTAGAGCACATATGATTCCCTACCTCTTTTTGAAAGAACCATTTAGATAAGTTTACAAACAAAAGAATATACGTAAGAGAAAAATCGCAGCCATTGGAGGAAATAAAGAGGAAGCCTGTGTGTCGATATGAACATTTTTACGGTTATTATGTTTGAGCATCAAACTCAGCTTCCTGGCAGCCAGAGTGAAAAGAGGAAGCATGCTAGAAGTTTCATAGGTCTAATTTTAGGATCTAAACTAGTCTTCCAAAGGAGATGAATGGTCTCTTAGCATGGAATCCTAAAGGCCCTTTTGCATGTGGAGTCCCAGAAAGGTGACCATGAGCAACAAATATAATTGGCAGTACTTTGACTACAGCTGTAGGACAAACACATCATTGGCTTTTCAAATGATTATCTGTTGTAATAACTTTCCAGAAGAGGCAAGTCACTCCTGGTTTCTGAGCCTCGGGATCTCTGCCAGCTCATGCAGTGGGGATGATACTGTAGAAGCCTCTGGTTCAGGCCCTCTAGGAGGAAAACTATGGGCACTGTTCCTCAACAGAAGGATGGGTTTTCTCTCTTTCTCAGGGATCTTATGAGCCAAGTCCAAACTCTGATGCAGAAGATGAAAGATGATCATGTGAGTCAGATTTACTGTTATTTCTAAACATTAATTTTCTAACCCACTAAAGTTGTCTCCAAACGGAGTGGCCTGCTCTGAAAAGCAGTGAGCCCCATGTTATTAGAGGCATTCAAGCAGTGGTCGGACAGCCCCCTGACAGAGGTCCTGTGGAGGAGGGTATGTCAATGGAGAGAGCTTTGTTGCTGGGTACAGCGACACTGAAAATCCCTCCTGATGCTAAGAGTCTGTGGTCTATAAATAAACCTCTAAAATTCCTTCAGTTCAGAGATGCTGATTCCATTATTTCAAGTGGGCAAGGATGTTATAGAGGGTTGAATGGATTTCCTAGGGCAGGGATATTTTCATTTCCTTGTTGGAAATTATCAAGCATTTTCCTCCCTCCATATAGAGAGTAAATTTCCATGAAGACTGGAAGGTCATCACAGTGCTGATCGGAGGCAGCGATTTATGTGACTACTGCACAGATTCGGTAATTGGGGCCAGGTCCAGGCCTACTTGTTGTTCCTAACTTTGCCCAGTAGGCGTTGGAGATCTTCCCTGAGAACAGTTCCTAAAACCAATCCTAGGATTATCCACCTACACCTATGTCTGCACATATACACATACCACACACACACACACACACACACACACACACTTCTTACCCCACCACCCTCCAGGTCCTTGGCACCATCTCCATGTCCTAGGTGGTGAGGTAGCAGGTGGCAGATATATGGTATTTCTACTCCTCTCTCTTATAACTCCTGAGAATTCAGAAAGAGGAAACTGTAGCAAGCAATTGGAAGGAGGAGTCTCCACTTTCTGCTCCTGAACCAAAGCTCTGGCTGAAGGTTCCAGTCTTCCCACTGGCCCATCTTTGACAACAGCAAGTAGTCAACTGTTCATCTCAGATTTTGACATGGTGAGCTGGCCACAGCTGGAGGCTAGAGGGGGAACAAGTCCTCAGGGCTGGAGCCAGAAGGGAAGTTGAGAACTGCCCCACTGCCCTCCCACCCTAACCAGTTCCTCCTTTTCCTCCTTCCTGTCTCTTTCTAGAATCTGTATTCTGCAGCCAACTTTGTTCACCATCTCCGCAATGCCTTGGACGTCCTGCATAGAGAGGTGGGTGGGGGGCTTCCACAAGCTGGTAACAGCTCAAGCATGGTGAGGGTGAAGGTGGATGGGGGGAAAGAATGAGAGAAGAACCCCTTTCTCTCAAGGAGACAGCCAGGGGCATGGACTCCTTCCCTTTTCAGAGGTTGGGGTCTAACCCCAAGGAAACCTTATTTTATATGGAATCAGCCCAGAAGGGCCTCAGGTCTGAAGGAGGGAAGGCTGTTCCCTCACCACTACATGGGACACTCCTTGGTGGAATTGTCTAATGTCTCCCCACTACTATCCGGGACATTTTCTGGTGGTGGCAGCCAGGTGGCCCCCAGGCTGGGCACTGCCTTCTGAGCCACAGGGTGTGTCTAGAGCAAGCCCCTGTCTGGTCCTGCACCCAGCAGCACATTCCCCCTCCACCACCACCATCTTCTGGCAAGGACAAGCTGCCCTGGCTGCGTGAGACAGGGCACTCTGACCACCAGATGCTCCCCTGTGGGGGTTGAGTCTGCGTGCCTACTCAGCAGAGTTAGGCCAGTTTGGGCTGGAGGGAAGAGGTTGCCTATCTCACCGAAGGTAATTCTAATGTATCTGGGCTTGCTACATGATGGCTAAACAGAGATGATCTCTTAGTCTTTATTGTCCCACTCCAGGAGGTGCCATTGCCGCTGCAGCCCCTTTGGGTGGCACCCATGGAGTTGTGTGATGTACGGCCTGTAAGGCCCTACGAGGTAGCCCTGTATAGACTCCTCCCCAGAACTCAACTCCAGAAAGACCAAGCTGGATTGCTAAAGGAACCCATTCCTAGGGGCCCTGAGACAGCCCCAGGAAGAAGTGCCTGGAGCCCCCCTCTCATCTGCAGCTTTTCCCTTAGGTGCCCAGAGTCCTGGTCAACCTCGTGGACTTCCTGAACCCCACTATCATGCGGCAGGTGTTCCTGGGAAACCCAGACAAGTGCCCAGTGCAGCAGGCCAGGTAGGCAGGTCCTGGCTGTCCCCACACTGGAGATGCCCTCACCTCCTGGTCTGGCCCACATGCAGTGGTGATGCCTCAGGGTCTTTGTGACTTGGTCTATCCATGTGTCCAAGTCTGTAAAGGAGGACTTCTGCCAGAACGTCCCCTTCCAGAGGCTGGAGCCATGACTCCCCTGTTACCCAACTTCAAGGTGCCTGGCAGGAACTTCTATGATACCAGGCAGCCACAGAGGGGAGGGATCAAAGTTGGGACAGAGGCTGGTGTTTGAGAGACAGGATAGCCTAGACTGTGAACATGGGCAGTGGTTAGGGAAGTAGACATATGTGGTCAAACTGTAACAGAAAGCAAGGAAAAGGTACAAGCAACTCAGTTACCTTTAGGGGAAGAAGAGAATTAGGAGGGACACAGGGAGCTTCAAACTGGGAGTGTTTTGTTTCTTAAACTGGGCCATAAGTACATGGATGTGTGTTTTATTATTCTTTATATCTTACACATCTATTTACTCAGCAAATCTTACAGAACTTCCTGTGTACCAGGCATTGTTTCAAGTGCTTTAGAAATCTCTCTCTTAAGTAGATGTGATGGGTGTGAAATAATTCATGATGAAACCAAAGGGGACACAGTAGGGCACTCATGTGAAAGAAGGAGAGGTCTAAGGCATAGCATCAGAGGCCCCAAAATATCAGCTCCAACACCAGAGGATGCATTTTCTTTTTAATTAAACACTAAATTTTCACTGCCCAAATTCATTTGCTCAGCTGAATAATCGGTTGCAGGCCCAGCACCTGCAGTCCAACACTTGTGCTCTGTTGGTATGAGAGGGTGCTCATTCCCACACTGGCTCCCTCCCTCGGGCCATCTCCAGTGCCCCTGCCAGGCCTGAAGCCTGCCCCTGAGCATGTGCGCCAGAGCCTCAAGGCTTGAGTGCTCCTAAACCAGGGCGGGAGGGAGCCTCTCCACCCCTCCCCTGAACCTGGGCAATCAGAACCAGCCCCTGATGGAAGCCTGAGCTCTGGGGCCTCCTGCCTCCCCCTCTTTGTGCAGCGTTTTGTGTAACTGCGTTCTGACCCTGCGGGAGAACTCCCAAGAGCTAGCCAGGCTGGAGGCCTTCAGCCGAGCCTACCGGGTAAGACCAAGAAGGGCACCATGCTGTGTCCTCTCCCCTACGTTCACTCTAACACACAGCCCAGAGCCCCTAGAGGAGGCACACAGGGAAGGAAAAGCTGGTCAGGGATTGTGGGGAGACGGGGAGCAGCCTGGGTGCCTTCCTCTGTCTCACGTGACTGTGGTGTCTCAGGTGCCCTGGTTGGAATCATCCCAGTAGGATCCAGGTGGAAAAGCCCTCATGGCCCAGCTACCGTTGAGGGCTTAACCCCAACTCCTGGCCCGTAGCCCTGGATGCCTCATGAGACCACCTTTCCCTCCCCCACTCCCACTCCAAAGGCAGGTGCCGAGCCTCTGGAGGTTCTTCCCAGGTTTTTATCCCTTTTGGGACTTCCTGCCTAGCCCTTCAGAGAGAGTAGTCTACTTACAATCAAAACAAAAAGGTGACCCAACCTGTTTCCAAATTCTCTGGAAAGGGACTTGCCCTCAGGTGATTTGTGTTCTCAAGGGAAAGGCTGAGTCGGCCCCTCCATCCAGGGAGATGGACTGCCCACCACCCCTACTCTTGCCTCACTGGGTCCTGGGCCCACCCAGGGCCTGGGCTGAAGACCCTGTGCATGTGTCCCCAGAGCAGCATGCGCGAGCTGGTGGGGTCAGGCCGCTATGACACGCAGGAGGACTTCTCTGTGGTGCTGCAGCCCTTCTTCCAGAACATCCAGCTCCCTGTCCTGGCGGTATGTCCCCTGCCCTCACCCATGGTACTCTTTTAGAGGAAGAAATGCAAGGCAGAATTGCCAGTTGCTTCCACGAGCATGTGCATAAAATGGGAAAGACACAGCTCTCCAGACGCTGTGCTGGCAGGTGCAGGCTCCCTGAACGCCTGAGCCACATCCGTATGTGCGAGGCTCCCATGACCCCTGTAACAGCCTCCATTGTGTTGAGCACCTACTAGTGCCAGGCACTGTGCTTCCCATAGATAAAACTGTCACATCTGCCTTTGGAAATGAGTGTGATCATCCGCATGGAACACAGGTGCAGAGATGTGAAGCGTCCTTCCTAAGATCATTTAGGAAATAAGGGACAGGGAGGCCAACATGAACACAGCCAGCTCCAGATGACTAGTTTTCTGCCACGCACGTGGTCTCTCTCGTGTGCAACGCTGCGGTTATAAGGGAGCATTCTGGGGGTTCTCTGTTTCCACCCAGGCCATGCCCTTTGCCTGGCACTTCCACTCTGAACAGAAGAGATCTGTGAGTGGACCAGGTGAGGACTGAGGTCTGTCCCCCTGGGCTGCCATCCCAAGAGCCTCACCTAACTGGAAAGCAGGAAGGAGAGCAGCTCTATGCACCCCCAGCACCTCCAGATGAAGAGGCTGGAGTCAGGGGACCCAACTACCCAGGCCTTCCCCAAGGCTTTGTTCCATTCTCCCCACCAAGACTACCAGGACCAGCAGACCAAAAGCTGGGAAGTAGCTTTTCCCAGCTGGCTGGGCTAAGACTCTCTGCGGGACCAGGATCCCACTCCTTCATCTGTGGCATGGCCTCGGGCATTACATGAATGTGCCCAAAAATAAATACGACACTTCTAATTGAATAAGGGGCACTTGTAGGGTCAAAAAGGAAGGTTGGGGGTTGGCGTCACCCAAAACTATTCTTTGTGGGATCGCTCTGATCTCTCTGTTAAGGTGAATGGGCCCTGTGGTGGCTGGTGACCTGGAGCACTCCAGGGGAAGGAAGGTGTTGAGTGGTCAGTCCCAGGGCCAAGTCCGCTGGTGGTGGCTCCCTCTGAACCAATAGGATCTTGAGGGGGTATATTGGTCTCTTTCAGGATGGGCTCCCAGATACGTCCTTCTTTGCCCCAGACTGCATCCACCCAAATCAGAAATTCCACTCCCAGCTGGCCAGAGCCCTTTGGACCAATATGGTAAAATAAGTGGGGTGTTCCTTGTTCTCTGGGGTTCTAGTCTAGGGCAGGGCACCAGCCCCTATAGAATGGAGTCTTGCAAGTGAGGCTGAGGGGGCAGTGGCTGGTACATCTATAAACGTCTATGCAGTTGGAAATGCGGAGTCCTTAAGAGTCTGCTCAGCCTGGGCTCAACTGCACCCTCTCCTCAGAGCTTTGAACTCTGAGGAGGGACCTCTCTACAGAAATGCAAGCCCAAAACCCCATATTCATTCCACTTTCCCTATGTGCCGGCCACCATGTTAGGCAGTTTAAGCCACGTTATCTCATTTAAGGCTCTGCATATCCCTGCTAGAGAAGCATGACGAGTCTCCAAGGAAGCTACTCCCAGAGAAGCAAAGCGACTGGCCCAAAACCCCACGGCTGGCAACTGGCAGAGCCAGAAGTGGGAGCCAAGCCCCCTGAAATCGAGTTCTGAGCTTTCCCCACTGCAGGATTCTGCCAGGGAATGTTCACTTCCATGGAAACAAACTACTACACCCGTGTCTCTCTTTTCTTCCCTGATCAGCTTGAACCACTTGGAAGCAAAACAGAGACCCTGGACCTGAGAGCAGAGATGCCCATCACCTGTCCCACTCAGGTAGTAGGGGAGGACCTGCCTGGCTCCTCTCCACAAACCAGGGCACACAGCTCGCCCTACCCACTTCGTCCTCCACCACAGCTTCCTCAGTACCCATCTTGCCCCCTTACTGAGGCCTGAGAGATTTGGAGGATGGAGGGGAGTCCATGAGGATGGACAGGGGAGGTGAGAGGGGAGACAAGAGTGCAGCTGTCATTGGGAACAGGAGATGCAGCAGGGAGAGGAGGCCTGGGCCCCAGCAGAGGGAGAGGATCCCGGTGAGAAAAGTGGGCTCCTGAGAGAGGAAATCAGGATGCCAGGAAAATGGCAGGAGGGCTTCTCTTAGCAGTGGTGTTTGGGGCAGATGAAAAAATCTGACTGCAGGTTAGAGGGCCCAGGCAGGAGCCAGGCAGGCTTAAGAGCTGTGGTTGGAGAGAGGAGAGCCTGGATTAGGGAGATTCCACAAGGAAAGGATCACAGAGGACAGCAGCAAAGGGCAGAGCCCAGAGCTGTATGGAGGAGGGACGAGGGTGGGCCTACCAGGACACGGCAGCTCCAGGCTCCTTTTAAGGAGGAATCCGTAAGTGGTTGTTAAGCTTGACTTCAGGCCTGGGGTGGGGGCAGGTTCTCATTGTCTTCAGCTCCTGTTTCTAGGCCCGGTCTTATGGCTTTTTAACCAAATAAGGCCAAGGCCAGAAAACCCTCAGCAGCAATAAAAGCAGAAGGCCTGACCCAATCTGGGAGGCTGGGTTTCCCTCCTAGGTCGGCCACACCACCCTCTCCCACCCTCCCTGCTGGGGAATGGACCTGCAGCTCCCCCATGTGTCTGCTGGGAATCCTGAGAGAGTGGGCACCCCTGTTCACATGCCTGCTCCCTGTCTGCTGCCTGCCCTACCCCAGTCTTGGGCTCAGGCTCAGTCTTGTGTGCCATCAGCCCCATCAGGAGAGCAAGAATGGCAGGAAGAAGGGATGGGAAGTGAAGACAGTCGTAGCAGAGGGCTCAGTTGCTGGGTCTTGTGCTTGGAGCTAAGGAGATTGTCAGATTCTGCAACAGCTAGTGCAACACAGATGCCTCTAGTCCAGGTGGTCAGGTGCTGGCCAAAGGCCTGGAGCAAAACCTTAGAGGCCCCTACTGTGCCAGGTGTAAACTCTTTAACTGCTTTCCTAAGGATGCCTGGGGGTTCTAGGGGAGCAGCCAGGGACCGTGGATAGTGGGGGCATTTGGGGACTCAGAAATAGCCATATTGTAGATATGTCAATATTTTACCAACCCTATAGCCATACTGAATATCAGCCATGGAGGGCCCTTTCCAAACTGTCCACTCCCCTTCCATTACATAACAAAAGCAGCCATCATTTGCTCTTTCTTTCAACAAACGTGTATTGAGTACTGAGTTGGAGCCTAAGCACTGGGTCAGGGAGAGCCCTGTCACCCTGGGCTTCGAGGCAACCACTTCCAGGCTTTACCCCAGATCAGGCAGAGACCCCCAAAAGGAGGCTGCTCCACCCAGCAGCATCTTAAGCTGAGTGGGCTCAGTGCCTCCCTTCTAGACAGAGCCCAATGGAGCCACTGCACTGATTTGCAGAGGTGAGCAGATCCAGCCTCGTGGAACCAGTAGAAGCCCAGCCCTGGTGAAGCTGTTGCTAAGCAACATTGGAGCCCATTCTGAAAGGGTCCATCTGTTGGCCAGCCCAACTTCACTGTGTTCTGAGCATTCTGCATTCCTCAGTCCCATCTGCTCCCTCCCATGTGCCTTGGAGTGATATAAAAGTCCACCAGCATCTCAGTGTGAGCTGACAGGGGCCAGGCAGCACCTATTTTTGTCCTAGATGTGTCTAAACATAGAGGCAACAGGCAACAGGCAAGACGCAGTGGGGGGCGGGAGGCAGGAGGCCGAGATGGCTGTGAGCATGAGCTTTCTCAGCCTCCTCCCTTCTCCCATCCGCAGTCTAACTGCTCATACGTTCTGTGTGCCAGGTAGGGTGACTTAACAGCACGCCATGGATTTCTGTTGTAGTTTCAAGTTGGACAAATTCTTTTACAGACAACTTTTGACTAGCCTTCTGTGGACTGAGCCTATACTCTGCCTTAATGGGCTCTCTGCCCACTCCTTTCCTAACCCCAGGGCAGCTGGCTGAACACCTGGTCCTTTTCTTAGGTTTCATTCTTTTTGACCTCTCTGAAGCCCTTGTCAAAAGTCACCACCTCCCCCTTGAAATTCACTCCTTCCTGGGTTTGTGGACACTAAATCGCCTTGATTTTTCTGGTCTTCTGTTTGCTTGCCTTTAATGACCCTCCTCCTCCCTTTCCCCAGTCTTGAAAATGTAGATATTCTCCAATTTTCATGTCTCCATTCTATTTTCTTTCCTTTTTCACTCACTTTTTGAAACAGGGTCTTGCTCCGTCTCCCAGGCTGGAAGTGCAGTGGCGCAATCACAGCTCTCTGCAGCTTTCAACTCCTAGGCTCAAGCCATCCTCCCACCTCAGCCTCCTGAGTAGTTGGGACTGCAGGCATGCACCACCATGCCCAGCTAATTTTGGTTTATTTGTTTTGGTAGAGGTGGGGTCTTGCCATTTTGCTCAGGCTGATTTTGAACTCTGGACTCAAGTGATCCATCAGCCTTGGCCTTCCAAAGAGCTGGGATTACAAGTGTGAGCAGCTGTGCCCGGCCTCTGTTTTCTTTTCTCTCTCTCCACATCCTCTCACTCTGAGACTTACCCATTTCCAGGATTTCCTGTAAAATTTCTTTGTGCTGGATTCCTCAGTCTCTCAATCTGTGTCTTCATTTCTCCTTTCCCGAACTCCAATCCTCTATTTCTGACCTTTAAAATACATTTCCCCTTGGATGCTCTATCTGGTATAAGGTTACCCAAAAGGCAGATTAATGTATGATCAAGCAGGAGGGGGCTGAAATAAGTTCATGTATCATACCCTATCTTTTCTTATGAGAAAAAGCCGAAGTTTATCAAATTCCCTTAAACTTAGTTTGTTGTTTAGCAGTGCTTCTGTATTGAATTACATATAAGTGACATTGTTATCTTTTTGACGCTCAGAGCTTCTAAATCCAATCCTGCCATGACCCCACCACCATCTCAAGCTTAACATTCATTCAAAAAATAATTTTCTGAGCAAGGAGTGTCTAAATAGGAACTAATTCTTTGTCTTCCCAAACTCTCTGTTCCTTAGGAGTTCTCTATTTCTGCCAACTTCATTAGGGTTTTCAAGCTCTACAGGCATGAAATGTCAGGGACCCTATCTAATCGGATTCTTACCAGTCCTCCAGAATCTAATAGGATTCTTCCCACCTGTCCCTCTTCCTTTTCCCACTGCCACTGCAGGGGCTCAGATTCTCATCACTTTGTACGTTAAAGGCTAACTAGTCGCACCTTCCCACCATGAAACAATAGACTTATGTAATCTTAGGTTCTCAGTGGGGAGGGCCTTAGACTTCTGTGGATGCAATCTCTCATAGAATAATGGAATTCTTCTACCACATCCCTCCCAAGACACCCTATGGCCTCTGCTTAAATGTTCACACTTTCTTTTTTATTTATTTATTTATTTGACTTTAAGTTCCAGGATACATGTGCAGAAGGTGCAGGTTTGTTACATAAGTATACATGTGCCATGGTGGTTTGCTGTACCTATCAACCGGTCATCTAGATTTTAAGCTGTGCATGCATTAGGTATTTGTCCTAATGCTCTCTGTCCCCAAATGTTCACACTTTCTTACCACCTGAAATCAGTGTAGGTAAAGAACCAGCACTTTTTTTTTTTTAATTAATAGTGATGGGGTCTCACTCTGTTGCCCAGGCTGGTCTCAAACTCCTGAGCTCAAGCAATCTTCCCACACTGGCCTCCCAAAGTGCTGGGATTACATGTGTGAACCACCACACTCGGCCGGAACTAGCACTTTTTGAATGGAATGGGATAGAAAACCTCTTAGGACATCCCGTGAAATACCATTATGTCCTCCTGCCTCTGACTGCCACCACCCAGCTGAGAGTCTTCTCAGTTCCAGCCACTCATTGCACACATGGCTGCCAACCCCTGCCTCATATGGGTATTTCTCCTTGGAATGTGGCCCCTTGTAAGGTGGTGACTGTACATCTGGTTTGATCCAACCAGCACAACCAGCGAAGAAAATCACCCCTCCTTCCCCATGGAACTACACCTGGTAAAGCAGCCAGGATGTTGATGGCCTTGTCCCACAGCCACTGACTCACGTTGCTGACTCACATCAGGAGGCTGGCTGGGCTCTGCCTCCCCAGGCAGCCCACACCGTCTTTGCATGGCTGGAACTACTAGACCGGTTCCTTGTTCTGCCATTCAGTCGGCCCCCCTTTCTACTCACGGGGGCTCCAAATCTAGCCTTCAAGAGCCAGTCAGGCTCAATCAAACCCCTCTTTCACGTCATCTGCTTTGGCTCCAGGCCTTTAAACCACTCTGACTCATGCATGCACCAAATGGTCAATGGTCAATAAACCCAGCTAAAAACAAGCCCAATAAAACCCAATAAAACCCATTAGACAGGAACATAGGAGTTGGAAAAAAAAGAAAAGAAGGGGAGGGGGAGGAAAGCCCTGAGGCACCCCGGCTGCCTGTCTGCCACAACCCTGGGCTGTAATTGTTCTTGCCATGGCCTCAGTCTGCAACACATTCTAGTGTCTCCTTGACCTCTAGCCCTCTAGCTCTGCCTCCCTTTCCCCAACCTGTAGATCTTGTGATCAAATAGATTCAATGAAACACATTGTCCAGTTGCACTCGCAGCACTTCCAAAAAGGTCAAGTTTGTCCTTCCCTCAGTGCCTCCCATTCTGGTCACGGTAGGACTGACTCCAGCCCCTGGACCCTAAGCTGAGTCTGGGCTCCTTTGACGTGCAGGGAGAATGCCACTGAGTCTTGTCTCTGAGGACCCTACCTCTCCAAATCTTGCCTCAGTTCCTCAGCAGGTACTACACTGACTGGCCATGCCATTCTCTGATGCTTCACTGCCTCAGCTTCTCAAGTCTGTCTCCCCACCTGAGCCAATTGTGAGTTTCTCTCTCTCCTCCTCTCATCCTGGCACCTAGAAATGCTCTCTAACGCTTGAGCTGCTCAACCAGCATGGGTCACTTGTTTATAGCATGCTCCCAGATCGCCCTCTTTGTTGGTGAATGCTCAGGGAATGCTTACTGTTAACCCGAGACAAGCCCAAGTAGCTACATGGACCTGCCACCATAAGCCCTCTCCTGTCTTATGCTGTTGTAGAGGGTCCAGGGCTCACTTCTCCCACTTGGCCCTGAGTACCTCTCCTTGAAAGGATGTCAGGGGCTGGGCGCAGTGGCTCACGTCTGTAACCCCAGCACTTTGGGAGGCTGAGGCGGGCGGATCACCAGGTCAGGAGATCGAGACCATCCTGGCTAACATGGTGAACCCCCCGTCTCTACTAAAAATACAAAAAATAAAAATAGCCATTTGTGGTGGCAGGTGCCTGTAGTCCCAGCTACTCGGGAGGCTGAGGCAGGAAAATGGCATGAACCCAGAAGGCAGAGTTTGCAGTGAGCCGAGATCGCGCCACTGCACTCCAGCCTGGGCAACAGAGCAAGACTCCGTCTCAAAAAAGCAAGCAAGAAAGAAAGGATATCGGTTACCTGTTTCAGACAGGAATGCTGAGACCAGGGAAAGGGGAGACTTGTCGGGTGCCTCAGGGAACCAGTATCTGAGCTGGGGGCTGAGAGCTCTGTGTGGGTGGACTCTGTCCTCCCAGTCGCTGCTGAGTCCCTCTCTTCCTTTCCCGCTGTCTGACCAACAGGGTTTTTGTTGGCCTGACCTCCAGTGTGAGGAACGGAACCAGGCAAGAGGCTTGTCCAGTCAGCTCTGGCCCCAGTTTGGCATTCATCACTTGTTCCCTAACCTGGAACCCGTCCCTTCCTCACTCTGGGGCTCAGCAGCTGCTCATCTATAAAGTGGGGCATTTGGGGGTTGCAAAGTCAGTCATCTACAATGCCAGGCAAGAACATGGTTGCGTACATGTGGTCAGGTATGAGACGAGATCACTTTTCCAACATTCTGGTTTTCCCTTTTTTTTTTTTTTTTTGAAACAGAGTCTTGCTCTGTTACCCAGACTGGAGTGAACTGGCATGATCTCATCTTACTGCAACCCCTGCCTCCCAGGTTCAAACAATTCTCATGCCTCAACCTCTCAAGTAGCTGAGATTACAGATGTGTACCACACCTGGATTTTTTTTTTTTTTTTTTTGTATTTTTAGTAGAGACAGGGTTTCACCATGTTGTCCAGGCTGGTCTTGAACTCTTGGCCTCATGTGATGAACCCCCCCTTGGCCTCCCAAAGTGCTGGGGTTACAGGTGTGAGCCACTGTGCCCAGACTAATTTTTTTTTTTTTTATTGAAACAGAGTCTCACTCTGTTGCCCAGGCTGGAGTGCACTGGCACAATTATAGCTCACTGTAACCACAAACTCCTGGGTTCAAGCAATCCTTCTGCTTCAGCCTCTTGAGTAGCTAGGATTACAGGCACATGCCACCATGTTGAGCTAATTTATTTTTTTAATTTGTCGTAGAGATGGGGTCTTGCTATGCTTCCCAAGCTGGTATTAAACTCTTGGCCCCAAGCAATCCTCCTACCCTGGCCTCCCAAAACGCTGGGAATACAGGCATGGGCCACTGTGCCAGCCTGGTTTTTTCTTCTTGTTCCCATTTTATTCTCACATTTTCAGACCATGGGCTTACTACTCCACTGAGCACATTTTGTGAGAGTGCTCACAGCCCTGGGCCCGGTTGCTGTTTCCTGATCTCAGTCTTATCAACTTGATCTTGCTTTGCTGTCATTTATACATTTTCTCATTAGCTTTCTCCCCATTTCTTCTTTGTCTGCTTCCTTCTTCCTTCTTTAACTAACTCCTCACCTGCAACTGGGGGGACTTGGATTCTTGACTGGGCTTATGTGAAAACTGATTGTAAAACAGATAGGTAAGTAGGGAATGAGGAGGGTGTTTTACAAGAAAAAAAAAATGACTAAGATACAGGAACCCAACCTAAAGAGGAAAAGACATACAGTTCAAAGGAGGCAGAAAGAAAAACATTACAGATACTCAAATATATTGATAATCATAACACTTTCTGGAAGATTAAAAAAATGCTGAAACATGAATCCCTTGCTAGAGAAATTACAAAGCCAAGAAAATAGATAGGTCTGAGGATTAGGGAGCTGTTCAGTTGCTAGGAGGAACACAAAAGCACAGACCCCAGACTACAATGGGTATGAAACCCTCTGCACGCCTTTTGTTGTCCATCCCTTGCCAAAGCTGTTATGTAAAACCCTCCGGGGGAATGAATGAAATTATGTTTATACAGTTCTTTCTATATAAGTGCAGAAGAATCATGTTAAATAAATCTACAGGGCAGGATTGTTAGTTTTTCTCCTTCTCAAGCAAACTTCAGTGCTGTCAGATAACTTCTCCATGTGTTTTTTTTTCTCTTAGAATGAGCCCTTCCTGAGAACCCCTCGGAATAGTAACTACACGTACCCCATCAAGCCAGCCATTGAGGTAACCCCTGACTCACATCTGCCTCTCTCAGACACAAACCATTTCCACCTGCCAGGGGCTCGGGTGTGGTACAGGTTTCAGAGTATTCACTGAAGCAGAAATGTACTTCTTACATACTGGGGATTGGAATGTACAGAAAAGGCTCCCGGACCACGAAGCCCCAGGATTGTCCTAACATGTTCTCAAGTTGCTTACCTGACGTCAGCCCCCAAGCAGAGGAAGTGTCTATGGATCGATTTTCTTTGACCTTGGCAATCCTGGGCTCACAGACGTGGTTACTGCTTAGGCAGCTCAGCCTCTCAAGAGGGAGAGGCAGCTGGTGTGATGTGGCGTTGACTTCTTGGAAGGTGGAGGCTGAGTGGGAGGGAACTACAATTCTGGGGATGGGACCCAAAAGGAAGTGGAGGCACGTTCATGTTCCTGTGGGCCCCTAGGCCTTGTTTGGTTCAAGTCAATCATTCTAGTGCTGAGGATTCAGAGCCCATGGTTAATTCCATTGGATTAACCATGTCTGTGAGCCTAGGACGGCCACTGCAAAGACGGCCTGGAGGACCCCGGACTATACCATGACTGGCAGTCAGGCCTGGTCCGGATCAGGTCTGTTGGTCACCAGGATGGGGTTTGACCCGCAGTTTCAGTTTCACACCTATATTATATCCAGTCTCATGTTAGGGGCTAGAAGGCATGCAGAGAAGTATCGAACATGGTCCGGACCAAGGGAAGTGAGAGCCCAGTAGAATTTCACAATTATTGAGCACATACTATGTGCCAGACACTATTCCAGGAAGACAGAAATGTTAACCAGACAGATGGATCCCGGCCCTCACGTAGCTTACAATCTACTGAGAAAGGTGTCTTATATACATGGCTAGGCATGGTCATTTCAGATAGTGATGACAGCTCTGAGGAGCGTGATGGGGCTGGGGCAAGGGAGGCAAATTCAGGTGCACCATGCAGGCCAGGCCTTCCTGAGGTGAGATTTAAACTGAGACATGCATAATGAGGAGACACTTGCTATACAGGGAGCCAGGAACACAGTCCCAGGCAGAAGGACCATGGACCACACAGGCTCAGAAGTGGGACTGTGTTGGGTGTATTTGGGGAAGAGAAAGAAGGTCAGAGTGGCTGGGGGCATGAGAATGAGGTGGAGAGTGGGGGAAATGAGATCAGGAGTGCCAAGGAGCCAGATCACACAAAGCCTGAATTACTGAGTAAAACCACTGGATTTCAAGTGGAGAAAGATGGGAAGGCATTGGCGGTCTCAGGAGAGAGTGACATGATCTGGTTCACGTCTTTCAAAGATCTCCCTGACTGCTATGTGTAGAATGGGTTGGCCATCAGCAGGAGTGATTGGGGAAAGACATTTTATAAGCCAGCTGAAGAAACTAACCCATATGAAATCATTAAGAACTATTGGATGCTAAGCTCTGGGGTGCAAGCAATACCAGATTGCTGGCTGCGGGTTATGCTGTGTCCAGCCTCTCTGAATTTTCTCAGGCTCACGTTAGCCCAGTGGAGGCTTGTCCTCATTGAACCAGTGACCAAATTCCCTGAGAATTGAAATGTCAGCTGCATCTTGTGAATCAGGCATTTCTTCATTTATTCATTTACCTATTGGATGCCTATGTAGAGTGGGCACTGCACTAAGTGCTCGGTAGACAGTGGTGAGCCGAATGGGTCTGGATCTGCCCTCTTGGTTCTTCAGTCTCATGCATCTTTGCTTTTGCTGCTGGAAGAGCTAAAAATCCCAGAGCTAGAAGGGCGTGTGTTTGTTTTAACAGCTTTCTACTCAAAGTAACCACAGAAACAAAATTCTGTCATCTGAGGTAACGTGAATGAGCCTAGAGGACATTACGTTAAGTGAAATAAGTCAGGCACAGAAAGACAAATACTACATGTTCTCACCATATGCGGAAGCTTAAGAAGTTGACTTCACAGAAGTAGAGTATAAATAGTGGTTATTAGAGGCTGGGAAGGGTGGATGGTGGTTGGGGAGTAGAGATAGCAGAAATTGATTAACAGAAAATTACAGCTATATAGGAAGGAGAATTTCTAGTGTTTTATAGCACAGTAGGGTGACTATAGTTAACAGTTTACCATATATTTTCAAATAGCTAGAACAGCAGATTTTGAATGTTCCCAACACAAAGAAATGGTAAATATTTGAAGTGAGGGATAGGCTAATTACCCTGATTTGATCACTGCACATTGTAGAGATGTATCAAAATATCACACTATGCCTCATAAGTATGTACACTTAATATGTCAATTAAAAATAATAAAAGCAAAACTAATAAAGTGGCCACAAAGAGGCTTTACCTGGGAGCTTTTTAGAAATGCAGAGTCCTGGGCACCACCCCAAACCTGCTGAATCAGAATCTGCAGCTTAAGATCTTCAGGGGATTTGGATGCACTGATTTTGGGTGTGGTGCATGGTTCTTCCCTTGTGACGGATGAGCACGTTTCAATTCCAACCAGGATCTGTTAATCTACATGGAATATGCTTATCTCTGGTTCACCAACTATCTGAGATATATCTCATGTGCTGATGGCTGAATAACTTTTTACGTTGCATTTTCTGTGAGTATTTGTCATCTGCACACAAGCATGCTCTTGAGTTCATTAAACCTTTAAACAGAAGAAATCCATCAGAATGATGAATTGAGCAATCCCTTGGGAAAAAACCAAATTCCATAGGATTAAGCAAATAATATTTAAAAGAAGTTCCATTTTTGCTCTCTCATGATAGGAATATTTCAACAAGTCTTATCTTCATCATCTGACTGAACAGATGAGATGAGTTTTCATAGCATCTGGCAGTCAGACTCCTGGACAGTCAATCTGCTGGTCAAGCCCTACTCCATACTCAGTATGCATATATTTGAGACTTTGGGAAGATACTCAATTTTCCCCCAGATTTCTGGTACTAATCATTTCTATGCCCTCTGCTTCCCATCCCACTCCTTTCCCCAGCACCTGGAAAATATGTTCTGTATTAGAGACAAAGAAAATTGACTAAAAGCATCCAGGGTTGCTTACATCAATTTAAAAACATATAAGGAATAAGGCTGTTAAGTTAAATATGCAAAAAGACATACAGGTATCCAGAAAAGACAGGCAGAAACCAGGAGCTTTACAATTTTAAAATATTTTGTGTTATTATTCTAAAAATATTTTAATTATTGTCTAGGTTCTACCATTATAATTAGTGTCAGTTAGCTTAATTTTATAAAACACACATACCTGTAATCTCATGTTAGGCATCCAAATGCTGTGTTCCTTTGGGAGACCCACCTGTGTAGGACTTCATGGTTTTCTTCCCTGCTTTGGGGCAGCCACTGGCTCCATTCAAAGCATAGATATATGGGGATAAGAAAGGTGGTGTGTGGGTGCACATGTGGAGACATGCACTATGGGTTGTGCATAGGGGTAGCTAGACACACCCATTTCTCCCCCTTTAATTTCCCTCCTAGCCCACCTATAACTCACAGTTCTTTCCCTCACATGATCCTGTATGGTGACTCATTTCTAGCCTCCATCAAAAATCCCTTAGCTGGTTCTTCTTGGGCTGAAGCTTATCTCCCTGCACAATGAGTGTTGGGCACTGAATCTTTTCTCCTGTTGATTTAGAACTGGGGCAGTGACTTCCTGTGTACAGAGTGGAAGGCTTCCAATAGTGTTCCAACCTCTGGTGAGTGAAAACATCATCATCTCCTTCAATTAAGGGCCTTGCCGAATATCAGGTTGTGGGGAGACCCTGCAAACATACCCTGGAGCTTTAAGCAGGACTTGCTAATTCCCCTGCAGTGCAGACCTAGATCCTGCGGCCTGCCGCCACAGCTGGGCTTCCATGTGGAGGTGCACAGAGCTCTCCATTGGATGCTACTTCTTGTCTCCTTATAGTCCCAGTGGCAGTCCCTTAGGCCTCCCTGCCCAGTGAGGCAGGTAGAGTCAGGGATTGGGATCTACCTGCCTGTGCTACATGACCCTGCAGCTGGAACTTTCCTGGACCACCCCAATGTCAATCAGGCTCTTCTGAGGGTGGATGATAGCCATGGAACCCATTCCCTGCAGTGCCTTGGTTGGTCTGAATGAATGGGAGGGGCAAAACTGCTAAAGCCTTAAGCTGAAAATAAGTACAATGGGGAGCAGTGGGACAGAGTTATAGACTTCTGGTAAAATGTGTACTTTAAGAGGTAGATACCCCCAGCCCCCACAACCACCTCTCTGCTTGTCTCCCCTAGTCCACCAGCTCCGACCAGCAGACATCAAAGTGGTGGCCGCCCTGGGTGACTCTCTGACTGTGAGTAGTGAGCCATGAACCAGGATGGGCAGCTCAGAGTCCAGCCAGGCCCTGCGCAGAATCTGTGCTTCCCCAGCATTGGCTCCGCTTTCAGTGCTGAGCCCGTGTTACTGAGGGCCTACCCATGTCAGGCACTGAAACACAGCCAGGAGATGTAGAATGCCCTGTCTCGCCACCTTCCCAGTTCTGCTCAAAGCCCCCTCGTCCATGAGGCCTCCCCTCAATTCCCCAGGGAGAAGCAATCCCCGCCTTCCCCACTGTTCACAGGCGTTTTGTTGGTGTGTGATGGCACTCATTCAAGTCTGCCTGCCTTCATCAGGGGACTCATCTCCATCTACCCAGACTCAGAGTGGCAGGTCTTACACACACACTGCCCCATGCTCCCTACTCCATTTAAGGACATGTGCTTTGGGGCAGAGGGAGCCCGGTTCCTCACACATAGCACAGTCTTGCTAAGTGAATTGTGTTCGCCAATTACTTAGCCATTGTTGTGTACACCAACACTCTATTAGCAATTCTAAGGGAAATGAGGTATGAAACACAGTCATAGCCCCCCAGCAACCTGTCTGGCTGGAAAAACAAGAAACGTACACAGAAAGAAATGCATAGTCACATAGATGACATATAGGACTTGGATGTTTTATTTTTATTTTTTAACTTCTAAGTTCAGGGGTACATGTGCAGGTTTGTTACACAGGTAAACTTGTGGCATGGGGTTTGTTGCACAGATTATTTAATCACCCAGGTATTAAGCCTGGTACCTATGAGTTATGTTTCCTGATCCTCTCCCTCCTCACACCCTCCACTGTCTGATAGGCCCCCGTGTGCGTTGTTCCCCTCCACCTAGGACTTTTAAAATAGGGTAGTTATTTCGGTAGAAACAAACACCAGCCCCACATGTGTGTGAATGTGTTTCCATTTTGGCATGAACATGGAAAAAGATGTGGAAAGGCACATATGAGTCTGTTCACCACTAATGAGCTCTGGTGGTATTTGCATGTGGGTGAGGAGGGAGTGTGGAATCTGTGGCAAGGGGCAGGATTCTTAAGGTAGGGGTAGATTATTCGTTTGTTTAAATATTTGTATCATTTCACATCTGTTACTTTTGTAAATTTCAAGGTTTTGTTTTTTTTTTTTTTTTTAAGACAGGGCATTTAGAGAAAGCTGTATAGAGGAGATAGGAACTGATGAGGGTCTTAGAGAACGAATTTGGAAATGTAAGCTGCTGGAAAGGAGGGAGTTCAGCATTCCATGAGGGTATGGGAGTGGGTGGTAATGGGGTAGACCAGCTCAAGGCCCTCAGGCTTCCAAAATAATGGCAGGTAATTAGCTTAGCCCTGAAGATTTGTGTGGACTGGGAAGGAGGGAGCAAACAAGGGTAAGGAAAGTAGAAACCAGATTATGGTGACCTCAGAAGATTGGTGGTGGGATTTGGCTTTAATCTTGAAGGTAAGGGAGACTCATTGAAGGGTCAGGGCTGGGGTTGGGGAACATGAAGAAAGAGGCATGTGCAGGAGTAACAGAAACTGGAGTCAGTTCACTCAGGCAGGAGGCCAGCGTATTGCCCGTGGCAGGGAGGTGAGGGTCTCAGTTAGGAACACGGCAAAGGGAACAGAAAGAAAGGGGCGGGTGCTAGGGAGAGTGGAAAGGAGGAACCAACAGGACTTGGTTACTGGCTGTAGGTAAAGAACTGAGGAGAAGAATGTATCAAGACCACTCCAAGTTTAATATGGCCTGGAGAAAAGCCGGTACTATTTTTAGAAAAGGCAAATCCAGGTCCTAGCTGCTACCCCAGGGCCAGAGGAGGCTCTTCCAGTGCCCTCAGCCTATACCCCAGCCCTGAACTTTCTTTTTGCTTTTTACAGACAGCAGTGGGAGCTCGACCAAACAACTCCAGTGACCTACCCACATCTTGGAGGGGACTCTCTTGGAGGTGAGGATGTTCTTGATGCATGCTCTATTGATGATGCTCTCTCAGAGAGGTGTGAGTAGTGTGTTTCCTGTCACCCCTCCAGGGATGCAGTTGGGTCCCCAGGTCCCAGCGCTGAGACAGGAGACTCAATGCTTGCATTACCCCTGAGGGTGATGGGAGAGACGCCCCAGGGGCCCAGAACCCGGTTCCGGTTCTGGCTTGTGCATATGTTGACACAGGGAGCAGCATGTTGGTGTGAGTTTAACAAATATGCTTTCTCCTCCCCAGCATTGGAGGGGATGGGAACTTGGAGACTCACACCACACTGCCCAGTAAGTAGCAGCCCAGAGAGGCACCATCACTGTGGCCGTCCTCCCTGGGGCCAGGGCCTTCCTGCTGGAGGAGGGGAAGAGGAGGTTATCTGCAAGAAGGGAAGTCAGCCAGCCCTGAAAAGCCCCAGAACTCCTGTGTCCCACCCATGTCCCCACCCTGCATGCTCATCTCAGTTACTGTGAGGGTCCTGCAGGCTCTCACCTGTGCTCTTCTCCTCCTCCTCCTCCTCTAAAGACATTCTGAAGAAGTTCAACCCTTACCTCCTTGGCTTCTCTACCAGCACCTGGGAGGGGACAGCAGGACTAAATGTGGCAGCGGAAGGGGCCAGAGCTAGGTGAGTAGATGCCGTACAGGAGGGCGAGTGGAAGGCAAGACTGAGACATCAGGGTGGGAAACCGGAGGAGAGGAGGGTGGTGTCCAGAAGCCTGGTCCCAGGGGCAATAGCAGCTGTGCAGGACTTTCTATGTGAATTATCTCCTGAGATCCTCACACCCTTGGACAGGGGCACTGAGGCTTATAAGCTTTCCAGAACCACCAAGATTATCCAGCAAGTTATCAGAGGAGGCAGGATCAGACCATGCCTGAATCAGGAGCCTTTGCTCTGACCACTGTGCTATTACCGCCTCTCCAGGGCAGCAGGAGGCGCACATCTGCCCTGGACCCGGGCGCTGTCCCTGCTGGCTCCAGCTCCACCTCCTGCCCAGCAGGTCAAACGTGCAGGGTGGCTCTCAGCACCTCGACAACTGAGTGCATGACCCGGGGGATAGCTGCCCTTTCTCTCTCCCCACCTCACTTCAGTCTTTGGCTCTGAAAAAGCTATATTCTGACACTAGGGAGTTAGATGTCAGGGCCCCCAAAACAGCATGGTGGCTGTTTGTTTTCACTGGGATTTCTGTTGTTGACAACAACTCAGATAATTAAAGCTGAAATGCCTGACCAGGCTCATTGATTTTCTGCATGGAGCGTGCTGGGTGTATGCCTTGTAGAAGGATCACTATGCTCCGATCACCAGGGAAACGACACTGGCTTGACTCACTCTGTTTACAGGGAATGTTCCTTTCAGAAGTGGTAACGTGGGCCCCATGCTCTGTTTGAGTCTCTAAGCCACAGGAAGCGATGTCAGTTCCTCAACGTCACGAGCAGGAAGAAATTATTTTTCTGCAAAAACTGGGCTTTATGAGGTCATTATAGCAACATCTAATTACTGTTATTATTGTTATTATCATCATCATTTTGTTGTTCTTGTACAGTACAGGCTTCATTTTCCAGGAGGTGATTTCTCACTCTGTTGACAATCAAGCCCCTTCTTCCTTTCTCACTTCACTTCTCTTATTGCCTTTTCTATTTTACCGCTGCTCAGCTCCTCTGCCAGATGAAGTCAGTGGCCAGGGAAGTAGTTGAGAACATGGGGCTCCTTGTGGGTATCTCTGATGTCCAATGTTAGGGGAAAGGAAAGTAATCCATTGACTTAAGAAAGGGAGGTTGGATAATTGCTCTATAACTTTCCTTTATCTCTATTCTGTTGTTTATTAGCATAGATACAGATGAGTTCACCTAAAGAGAAACATACAAACCATAGCAGAACACCTAATATCATAGGGTGTGGGATCAGATCATTCGTGTCTACATTCCAGCTCCAAGGCTTGCTAGCTGTGTGACCTTGGGCAAGTTGCCTAGCATCTCTGAGTCTGTTTCTTCAGCAATAAATAGGGATAATAATAGTACTTCTCAGGGTTGTCATAAGGATTAAATGAGATAAATAATCCGTGAAAAGAATGTAGTACCACACATAATACCCACCAAAAAAGCAGTACAGTACAAATGTACCAAAAGTTTGCCATTTAATAATGGATCTTCAGTTTCAAAGTTTTTTTCATCTAACTTTCCTTCCATCAACCAATAAGAATTCATTGAACACCTGCAAAAGAGTGAACCCTAAGGTGGTTACTAAAAGATACAAAGGGCCAGGCATGGTGACTCACACCTGTAATCCCAGCACATTGAGGGCCGAGGTAGGTGGATCACCTGAGGTCAGGAGTTCAAGACCAGCTTGGCCAACATGGTGAAACCCCATCTCTACTAAAATCAAAAATTAGCTGGGTGTGATGGTACACGCCTGTAATCCCAGCTACTCGGGAGGCTGAGGCAGGAGAATCACTTGAACCCAGGAAGTGGAGGCTGCAGTGAGCCAAGATCGTGCCATTGCACTCCAGCCCGGATAACAAGAATGAATCTCCATCTCCAAAAATAATAATAATTAAAAATAAATAAAAGATACAAAGGAATCAAAAGATGAACTCCCTGGCCACGAAGAGCTTGCACTCTAGGTAAGGAGGCTAAACAAATGGGAAATAACTTTCTGAAAAAGACAATGCTGGGTATGGCAACAATGCAGTGCTTCGCATGGAGTACAATTAAGAGAACAGAAGAGCACACAGTATGAACTGCACTGTCTAAAGACAGATGCAGACCCAGAAGGGACCCCTGAAATCATCCAGTCCAACCTCTTCCTTTAAAAGATGGGAAAAGTCAATCCTAGCAAGATTCAGCAACTTGTACAAGCTCAACAGCAAGTTGGTAGCAGAGCTGAAAGTAGAACCACTGGTCCCTGGGGTAAAAAAGGAAATGCAAGATGTGTGGATCAGGGAGCCCAGAGAGGAGGCTCAAGGGAAAGTAGGACTTGGTCTGGGCCTGAAGGATGGGAAGAAGATGGCTAGGAAGAGGGGAAGAAGCGGCATTTGTAACTTCCCCTCCTACCCACGAGGGCTTATTGCCCATGGATTCTCTTAGTCACACCTTGAACCTGTTAAAAGGTTAAAGGCACTTCTGTGGTCACCTTTGACCAGAAAAGTCTTTCTTTATAGCTTTCTGGTATACTCATCAATAGCAATAATGTATGGGATACAATCCTAGATCTGTAAATTCTCCTTAATGAGAAACAAGGGTAGGGATGGTACCATGTGTGTTTGGCCACGTACCTAGCTTACCGTGGCCACCCAAAGATTTTCAGTGGCCAGCTCGCACTGGTTGCTGCTTTTATGGCTTCTTCCATGGACACTTTCATTGGCTATATCCCCTTTGCTGACCTAACTTCTCACAGACATTTCTTTAAACACAGCTTTATTGAGGTATAAATGACATGCAATAAACGTCACATGTTAAAAGGATATAATTTGGCTGGGTGCGGTGGCTCACGCCTCTAATCCCAGCACTTTGGGAGGCCAAGGTAGGCAGATTGCCCAGGAGTTGGAGACCAGTCTGAGCAACTTGGTGAAACCCTGTCTCTACCAAAAATACAAAAAATTAGCCGGGCATGGTGGCATGGACCTGTAGTCCCAGCTACTCGGAAGGCTGAGATGGGAGGATCACTTGAGCTCAGAGGGGTTGAGGCTGCAGTGAGCCGTGATCACACCACTACACTCCAGCCTGGGCAACAGAGCAAGACCCTGTCTCAAAAAGGATACAATTTAACATTGTACCTGTGAAATCATCACCACAATCAAGATGAAAAATGTGTTCATCACCCACAGGAGTTTTCTCAGGCCCCTTGGTAATCTCTCCCTCCTGCTCCTTCCTGTCCCTACCTCACACCCCAGGCAACCACTAACCTTCTTTCCATCACAATAGATTAGTTTGCATTTTTAAAAATTTTATATAAATGGGATCAAAGAGTATATACTTTTTATCTGACTTATTTAGCAAAATGATTTTGCGATGCATCCATGTTATTCGGTATACCAATAGTTCGTCCCTTTTTATGGCTGAGTAGTGTTCCGTTGGCATTCATATCGCTCATCCAGAACACCAAATGGTATTGTTTTATTTATGGCAGACATCAGGGGATGAAGGGAGAACTAATCCTGTCCATCCTGGTTTATTGGAGAGGGAGAAAAAAAAAAGTGAGGAGATGGGGAATGGTGCGGAAATCTAAGTAACCACAGAAAAGAAAAACAAAAGGATTAAAGGAGCAGAGAGCAGGGCTTAGAAGTAAAGGTTAAAGGAGTCATTAAGCCTGGAAAGGAGAAAACTGAGGGATAATTGAGAGCTGTGACTTTTCTCAAATATACAAAAGGTTATTTTTAAAACAGGCAACTGAAGAAGAAATGAACAGGCTTGGCTTACGAAGAAAGAGCTTGAGGAAGTATAAGGGAAAGTCCTGAGGGGAGGCTTGACGGGATCCCAACCCGAGTGGCCGATGAGACTATTGGGTGGCAGGGGCTAGATCAATGTGGCTCCAGGGTCCAGGGCAGCCATGTGATTGTTACTAAGCTGAGATTTCTTGAGAATGGAATGACCTTTGTACTGGTAACATCATTCTTCTTGAAACACCTCTCTTCCTAGGCCAAAATCCCATGTCGTGAGTCCTCGCTCCTGAGCCGGCACTAACGCCCCTCTCTCTACCCCCCACCTAGGGACATGCCAGCCCAGGCCTGGGACCTGGTAGAGCGAATGAAAAACAGCCCCGTGAGTACAGGCCCCCAGGCCACCCCTGAAAGGTGCCCATCTCCTGCTGGCTGGGGAGGGGACAGCCCCATAAGGGTCCCTCTCACCACAGCACTTCCTGCTTTGGGCTAGCCAAAAGATCCTCGGAGAAGCAGTCCTTACCAAGGAGGCGCCTGCCCTGGCCACACTCCTAGACGCAGGCTGTGGCACCCCTCACCCCAGGGCCGGCTGCGGGAGGGCAAGGTGGAACAGGGAGTTGGCTGAGGTGGTGGCCTTGGCCTCTGACAGCTTCCTGCTTTAACCAAGAGGTGGCTTCCCAGAGCCCTATTATGTAAATGCAAGGTTCTAAAAATAGGCTTCTCATTCCAATCCAGTTCTGCCTCCTTCCCCTCACCCTGCCCCTCTGAAACTTCTCACTAGCACTTTTTTTTTTAACCGTTCAGTGTTTATGCCTAGGAATTCAGCTCCCGGTGGGATTCCTATTATGGAGGTGGCCAAGTGGAAAGCCAACTGCTTAGAGGGCCTCCCAGCCCCAACCCCGCTTCTCAGTCCACGCTGGGCTCTTCCTCCAGTCTCCTTCCCCCGACCCTAAGAACTCATCCCAGGGGCAGCTTAGGGCCTTTGCTTCTAGCTGCATCCTTTGCCTACAGCTCCCTGGAAGGCCTTCATTTGGGGGGACGTGGTAATCCCCTCGGCATTTAATGGGCCAAGGATATGTGGGACACATCCACATTCTACTTCTCCAGGGACACAACTTTCTTAAGATTTCAAGGGGAAAATAGCCCTCCCTTGTGTAAGCAGAACCCCGTCCCCCGCCAGCGCCCACCGCCAAAAAAAAAAAACATCCTCTCTGTGGAGCACCTTATCCTAGCACCAATTGAGGGCTGGGAAGCCCCACTTTGTTGCTTTTCTTTTTTTTTTTTTTTTAGACGGAGTCTCGCTCTGTCACCCAGGCTGGAGTGCAGTGGTGCGATCTCAGCTCACTGCAGCATCTGCCTCCTGGGTTCAAGTGATTCTCCTGCCTCAGCCTCCCAAGTAGCTGGGATTACAGGCACCTGCCACCAGGCCAGGCTAATTTTTGTATTTTTAGTGGAGACGGGGTTTCATCATGTTGGCCAGGCTGGTCTCGAACTCCTGACCTCAGGTGATCCACCTGCCTCAGCCTCCCAAAGTGCTGGGATTACAGGTGTGAGCCACCGTGCCTGGCCCAATTTGCTGCTTTTCTCTGTTACAGTATAAATAAGACAAAAGGCACTTGGAGGGCGGGCGGGCTGGCCCAGTAGCAACATTTGTATGTGCCTCCCACCAAGGCCTAAACTCAGGATCTTCTGTCCCCTCAGGACATCAACCTGGAGAAAGACTGGAAGCTGGTCACACTCTTCATTGGGGTCAACGACTTGTGTCATTACTGTGAGAATCCGGTAGGCCCCCGACCAACCCCATGGGGACCTGAGAAGGAAGGTGCTGACCTCTGGCAACATCCTTGCCCATCCATCCCTGGCCCTGCCCCGAGCTCCTTGCTCATGGGAACCACATTTGCCTGCTGCCCCAGGCCCTCCCTGGTTTACACATGCCAGGCAAGGCCCAGCCTTTTCTACTGCCTGAGCGACCCCTGGAAGAGCAGGTGCATTGGTTCCCCAATTCCAGAAGTAAGGCCAAGGTGGACCCACTGTAGGCACTGCTGAGGTGAGGCCTCTCTTATCCACACAAATATGACCTCTGGTACCAGATAGGGGACTAGCCATCCTCACCCCATCCCTGCCCTGTTTCATTTTGAGGAAGGGCAAAACAATGTTCTAAATGGGGTTGGATGGGTCATCACGAGTTAACCAAACCTCAGTGGTGGCCCTGGGAGCCCAAACCTGTTCCTGATGTTTCCATGGGGAAATATGTCCAGACTCACAAACTTCTGGAAGTTGTAACTTCCAAAAGTTTTTATTTTGGAATACATCTTGTTCTAAGTTGGGGACATTCTGTATTTTATTTGGCCGGGAAAAGGCAGCTGCCCAGCCTCAGAGATTGTGGTCGAATGTTTGACAGTCACAGATGGTGGTGTGGGGGAAAAGGCATTTATCACTCCTTGTGGCTCACAGAGGCCAACTACCAGAGGCTTGATGAGAAGTATCCTCCCACACACAGGAGTTGGTTTTCCAAACCTCTTCCCCTCAGTTCTCTCCCTGACCACCCACACTCTAGAGGCAGAAGTGACCCTAACTCATGGGGATTTAAGTATTGCTGTGTTCTGGACTCCGGGGATACCTGGACCCCAGAGCTGCGTGGACACTGTGGACGCTGGCGTAGGGAAATGCCCTCTACTAGTCCCAGGATGTGTGTTCTTCATGGGAACAGTCAGGTTTATACTTCCGAGAGCGTAGTTTAGTTGAAAGGGCTGGGCTGCCCCGACTAGGATTAACTCAGACTGTTTTAAAAAGAAGGAAAGGGGGAAAGGCAGAAACTCTGGGAGACACGAGGTCCCCTCTCCTCTATTTTAACTCTTCGGCATGGATTGTCTATCTTGTTCCTTTCCCCTTCTTCCCAACTCCCAGTACCCCTTCTGGTGGCTGTGGCCAGAAACTCAGCGAACAGCACTGGTCCTATGCCCATCAGTGTGCTGGAATTGAGTGCACGGTATCTCACCTGGCCTCAGCTCTTCGTCTCCAGAAAAAATAATGGGCTGCCTGAGCTCTCCCCTCCTGCCTGAGTGGTGCTGCTTTGTGGGTGCCTCAACTCCCACTTCCTGTGGACATGCTTTCTTCCATGAGTATAAGAGCTTCAGGTTACCACCCGCACCCCCACTGGTATCAGCCTGTGACACCTTCTGGGCCTGTAGCCCAGAGCCACATCTAAAAATAGAGGCCCATCTCCCTCTGCTATAAAGCAAAGCCCTGAGATTCAGCCTGCAAGGACTTACTGAGCACCTACTATGTACCTTGTTTGCATCACCCAGGATGCTGTGGACACACCTCTAAATCAGCCTCCTACTGGGGAGATGGTTCAGAGGAAGAGAACCTTACACTGAGTCACAGGGGATAGAAGTTAGGGGAACACAGGAGAGCAAAACATTTCAGGCAGTGGGACCAGCATGGACCAAAGCCCAAAGGAAAAAGGAAGTGTGGCCACCCAGGGCATGGCAAGGGGCTGGAGAAGGCTGAGGTCAGATGACGGATGGGACTGCCGAGAGCCAAGGCCAAAAAGTGGCAGGACCCAGCACTGGCAGAGTCCACTGTTGGGTCTGAGATTATGTAGAGCAGGGTGGGGGTTGGGATTGTTCATGGTGTCTAGTAGGGGACAAGGGATGATTCCTTACAGAGACTCAGCAGCAACAAGAACTGGGCTTCTCAGTTTGACCAGGACCACCGAAGCCCCTCTGTACCCACTCAGTCATTTAGCCCAGGCCCCAGAGCCCTCCTATGCTCTTGCCATTCTCTCAGAGCGGGCACCAGGGGCTAAAGAGAGTACCCTTTTTTCCTTACAGGAGGCCCACTTGGCCACGGAATATGTTCAGCACATCCAACAGGCCCTGGACATCCTCTCTGAGGAGGTAGGAGAGGGGTTACGTGTTCCTGGGTCCCGCCAGCCACCTCCCTGGGATGCATGTAGGCAGGCTGTGTTCAGTGAGATGCTCACGGAGCAGAGACCCGCCATGAGTGAGCACCTGGATGGCAGGGAGGGAGGTGGCTGTCAAGCTCCTCTGCAGGGAAAATTCTCACTTGGCCAGAGACAGGGTTGTGTGGTAGCAATGAGCTTGCCTCTGAACCAATTGGCCCAGGTTTGCGCCCAGCACTGTGGCTTCGGGCAAGTGACTTCCCTGTGTCTCAGTTTCTCAACCTATAAAGCGGGGCCACTCAAGAAGATTCAGTGAGATACTACAAGTTGCATCCCCTCTCTGGGCCTCAGTTTCTTCATTGGTAAAATTGAGGGGAGTGGGAATTGGATTGTAGATGACCCCCAGGTTCCTCCCAGCAGTAGCCAGTGCCCTAACGAAACCACCCTCCACTCCCTGCAGCTCCCAAGGGCTTTCGTCAACGTGGTGGAGGTCATGGAGCTGGCTAGCCTGTACCAGGGCCAAGGCGGGAAATGTGCCATGCTGGCAGCTCAGTAAGTGGACAGGTCACCGTCCCAAGGCAAGGGCACCTGGGGTGAGGAGGGCTTGCAGGTGCCAAAGGAGGAGACCAGTTGAGGCAGAGCCAGGCAGGCCTGCCAGAGGGTAGACATGGCTCAGGGGCTTGGACAACATCAGGAAGTACCTCTACATTTGCAAATGCCTACTGTATGCAAGGTGCCTCATTTCTCTGGACCCCCTTTTGCTTTTCTGTGAAAGGAGACAGACCAAATGATCCTTAAGGCTCCCTGACATTGTCAGTGATTGCCAAGGCAAACCTTGGCACGCTGCTCCCTGTTGAGAAGCAGCATGGGGCCATGAGCTTTCAAGGCTGCTACATCCAGCCTTGACTGTTCTGCCATTTAGGAGCTATGGGACCTTGAACAAACCACATAACCTCTATGAGCCTCTGTGTTCCTCATCTGTAAAGTGGGGGTGATGACACCTTCCCTGCAAGGTAGATGTGAGGTCAAGAGGAAACAAGGTACCTGGCCTACCAAGACTACCAAGAGCAGGGTCTTAGGAAATAGCTCTTATTCCATCCTTGATGGGGCCTGTCCTTGATAGCTGGGCTTGGAGGCAAGGTGCTAATGGGCAAGACAAGAACTCCTATCGGGGGCTGGAAGTCATTAAAGCTCTTGAACCCTGGTAGGAAGTTGCCATGTTCTGAGGGCAGAGGGCCTCCCACAGTTTGAGTGATTATTGCTATGAGAGAGGAGGTTCTCCAGGGAGCTGAGGAGTCCTACACCTGGGCTCAAATGGATTTGCTGCAAAGGTGACCAGCTGGTTCCCATTTTTGCAGGGAACCCTGCTCTCTCGCAGGGAACGGCTCCTCCAGAGTCTGTCTGTATCGTGTTCCATGTTGTCAGAGTTGCTTCCAGCCGGTTGGCCCTCCCCAGCTTTCCCACAGACTTCCCACACTGGAGCCCTGAGGGAGGGTCCTAAGCAGTTGCAGGAAGAGCTGAGAGGCCCCCGGAACTTGAGGAGCGATTCCAAACCCAGGGACAGAGCCATTGTGGCTGGTTTCCTAAACTCCAGTCTCCTGTCTACCCAGTCCTGCTCTGGAGAAATCCCAGGGACCACAGGCTTGGGAAGGAGGAAGGGGAATAGGCGTTCTGTCCACAGGGAGGTCCAGGCAACAGCTTTCCCTCTTTCTCTATGAACAATCATCCTCTGGACCTCAGGGCTCCTGAGTTAGCATTCTGTAACCTGGGTCCAAGAATCAGCCAAAGGTGTATTGTGGGGATACTTGTGTGTCACCCCCCGCCCTAGGTAAGGCAGCACAGGCTGCAGGCCCCTGGGGTAGTGGCCTGCTCTGTGTGTCAGAGCCAGCCTCCCAGGAGGACAGAGCCACAGTGCCCCAGGCAGCCTCAATACAACACTCCCTGTCTCACAGGAACAACTGCACTTGCCTCAGACACTCGCAAAGCTCCCTGGAGAAGCAAGAACTGAAGAAAGTGAACTGGAACCTCCAGGTAAGCCCTGCAGCCCTTCTCTTACTGACCCAGCTGGGGGGCCCCCTGTACTCCAAGGACTGGGAAATCGAATGCCCAGCAGGATGTGGCCAAGAGCAAGCCACTCCCTAAAAGCAGATTGCAGCCCCTGAAATACTTACCCCTGCAAATTGAACACCAAGGCCAGGGAAGGGAGTGAGAGACCCCAAAGTGGAAGCTGAGAAAATCCCCTTCTCCCAGCGGGTAGGCAGCAAGAGATTCCCAGAGTAGACTCCTTGTGGTAGGGCCCATTCCCCACCCAGAGCCATGTGTAATAATTACTACTCACTTCCTCCCCTCCCTTCATTAAAAACAAAAGGCTTAGGCCCGACACAATGGCTCACGTCTGGTGTCCCAGCTACTCAGGAGGCTGAGATGGGAGGACAGCTTGAGCCCAGGAGTTGGAGGCTGCTGTTAGCTATGATGATGCCATTGTACTCTGCCTAGACAACAGCGTGAGACCCTATCTCAAAAAAAAAAAAAAGAAAAAAAGAAAAAGGCTTAGCCCTGCCCTACTTAACTCTACCTCAAATTCTCCTTGCCCTCTCTCTGCCCCCTTCCATCTCCCCACCTCCACTCCTGCTTATGTCTCTGCCTCTATTGTTCCCTCTCAGGCTCAGGTAGCATTTCCATTCTGCAAACTGACCCTCCTTCATTCACAAGGCAAGTCTGCTTCCCTCCTCTAAGGAGCTTCCCCTGCCTGAACTTCACCCGCGGACATCTCCCCATATCACATTCAGTCTGTACTTGATGGGCCCTAAAAGCCCCAAAGGGTTCTCATGTTTTCACATCTTGGCTCATTTTTCCAGATGGATGATAAACTCCTTGAAGATAAGTACATCTAGTCTGTTCCTTTTACATTCCATGCTTGGGTACTTAAATCCAGCCACCGTGGACTCTCCTCCCGCAAAGTTCATGGGCATTTTGGGAGCTGGTGTTGAGATGCTCCCCATCTGACCTGCAGCCCCATGTTCTAATTGACCTCTTCGTGCAGTGAGAGGAGGGGAGGACTTTGGCCTATGCAATCTGGTCAGTGGCTCAGACCCAGCCTTTCAGGCAGAGGCTTTGGAATGGGACTGGGTGGAGCTGTGTAGCTAGGGAGCTTCTCCCACCAGGAGCCGCTGGGTTCAACTCATCTCTGATCCTGAGAACCAGCATAGGGCTTTGAAATGTCCGTGCCCATGAATGGGTGGAGAATAAAAGTATGTTTGCATCCCACTAGAGTAGCCCCTTAAAGTCACTGTCCTTTAGGGTGAGTTGACTCCCGTCAACAACCAATCCAAGGCAGCAGGACTGGACCCTGTCTGTGCAGCCTTGCCAGGAGGGTTGAGCAGCTTCTCTCTCTGTCCCCAGCATGGCATCTCCAGTTTCTCCTACTGGCACCAATACACACAGCGTGAGGACTTTGCGGTTGTGGTGCAGCCTTTCTTCCAAAACACACTCACCCCACTGAACGAGGTGAGCTGCAGGTATTTTAGGGAGGCTCACGTATGGGGGCCTTATCACAGACGATGGATGTATTTCCTTCTCTAAGTGGGCTTTTTTTTTTTTTAACCATCTCTCTCCAAGAGGATTCCTGAGGGTGGCTTTTTCCACATTACCTCCTTTTTGTGGGGGCTGGGCTGTGATTGGAACTCAGATGTACTTTGAAAGGAAATCAATAGTGACTAAGCTCCCAGGCCTGGCCCTGATGTTTTCTGGATTGGGATAGAATGGAAAGCTTCCTAAAAATGTTACTCTTTTCAACTCTTAGGATAGGGGTGCTGAAAGAAAAGGGAGAGACTATGGGTGGGTCCAATTCTTGTCTGTTTAAAAAGAAAATTCCGGCCGGGTGCAGTGGCTCATGCCTGTAATCTCAGCCTTTGGGAAGCCAAGGCGGTTGAATCACGAGGTTAGGAGTTTGAGACCAGCCTGGCCAACATGGTGAAACCCCGTTTCTACTAAAAATACAAAAAGTTAGCTGGGCGTGATGGCAGGCACCTGTAATCCCAGGTACTCGGGAGGCAGAAGTTGCAGTGAGCTGAGATTATGCCACTGCACTCCAGCCTGGCTGACAGTGCGAAACTCCGTCTCAAAAAAAAAGAAAAAAGAAAAAAAGAAATTCTAAATTCTGGGAGTTTTTCCATCAGTATCTGAGCAAGTTGGCAGGAAAGTTGAAAGAATGAAAGGAGACATGCCCAGGGCACCTGCTGGGAGAGTGAGTGGGGCTCAGGTAGCAGAGCCCTTTCCCAGGATGATAACCTCCTTGCCGTTGGTTGCAGAGAGGGGACACTGACCTCACCTTCTTCTCCGAGGACTGTTTTCACTTCTCAGACCGCGGGCATGCCGAGATGGCCATCGCACTCTGGAACAACATGGTGAGCAGCCAAGGGCCTGGTGGGCCTTGTCAAGGGGGGATCTAAGGATATTGACACTCTGTCTCACAATGGCAAAACTACTGGAGACATGGCTCCTTTCTCCCCAAAGCCCAAAGTGGCAGCACACCTTATTGGTCCTGATAGATTAATTCCAAAGGGAAAATACCCTATATTTATCCAACACCCTTTGAAAGTTATACAAACACACACTCACACAACTTTATTCTTTGTTCCTTCAGCAATGCCCAGGTACTGCGAGGGGATCCCTTTGTAATCAGATAGGTTGGCTAGATGAAAATACCAACTTCTACCTCGTACTGTGTGACCTTGGGCAAACGATCTCTCTGGCCACCTGTATCAACATCTATAAAACAGTGAAAACAAGACAGGTCTCAGACAACGCATTGAGATCATGTGTACATGGCACCTAGCACAATAGTTAGCACTCAGCAAATGTCACCACCATCAGCCTTCCAAGCACTCCGGGCTCAACTCATACCCAACTCATTTCTCTAAACATCGAAAAGTGGAGATCCACACAGCCTGTTTTCCGAGGCTGATACCTATTCCAGTCCTTTCTGATGGGAAGAAGGGACCTTATGAAATGAACATACAGTCTGGGGGTCTTTCAGGGACACCTGCCTGGTGCTTCCACTCTGCCTTCTGTGGCTGGCCACCAGCAACTGAATGGTTTCCGCACAGCACTTGACCTGTCACCCCCAACAACTGGATCCTCTTGCACGGAGCAAATGAAATGCCTTCCCAACCCAATGGTTTCTTTTAATCCAGGCTCAGTGGGTAACACAATCCCCACCCCAACCTGTATGTTCCCTCCTTTGTCCTATGACAACTAAACAAGCTACATTCCAGCTCCTTTTATCACAGTTTCAGGCCCATAGTGTCTCTGCCAACCACCGCTGTGCAAACGTTCCCACCCCTGTCAGCTCATCCAGTATGTCCAGCATCCCACTCGGCTGACTCACAATATTGACTTTCTCCTTAGCTATACCATCTCCTCCTCTCTAGCAACCTCTTCTTTTAAGAACAGCATGTAAACTGGCTTTATCCTTGGCCTAGTTAATGGCAGACTCAGCTTATGTCGACTTCCATTGTCAGGGGGTTTTCCTCCTGTGGACATCACGTACCTGCCCACTCCAAGAACTTCTATTGTACTCTTTCAGCCCAAGACTCCGGATTGTAACCAAAATGTCTTTGAGTTTGCCCCACGATTTTTAAATCAGTTTATATGGTATAATTCCTGTTTCTTTTGTGGATTTTGTTTTGAAGGCGGTTGTCCTTCACTGGCTGAATCATGTGACTTTATTCCTTTGTAAAAATCTTCCCAAAGAAAGGGTACCTATTCCCTGTTCCTTTTCCCCTGAGACCTCAGGGGATTCCACAGATGCCCTTGGCCCTTCCTTCCCAGTTTTTTCATCAAGGTATGGCCTTCCTACCAGGTGGCACTCCAAGTCTGCTTAAATCTGGGACCCTCCAGGAATCTCCTGGGGCTGGATAGCCATAGTGACGGCTGGAACATGAAAAAGAGTCCATTGGTTTCTTTTCTTGTGAATTAACAATGTAGCTCTGGCCAGGCACGGTGGCTCATGCCTGTAATCCCAGCACTTTGGGAGGCCGAGGCAGGTGGATCGCTTGAGCCCAGGAATTAGACACCAACCTGGGCAACACAGGGGAGATTCTGTCTCTACAAAAATAATCAAAATATTAGCCAGGTGTGGTGGTGCATGCCTGTAGTCCCAGCTGCTCAGAAGGCTGACGTGAGAAGATCACTTGAGCATGGGAGGTCAAGGCTGCAATGAGCCGAGATGGCACCACCGCACTCCAGCCTGGGCAATAGAGTGAGACCCTATCTCAAAAAACAAATAGAAAAAAAAAATATATGTAGCTCTGGCCTTCTCTTCTAAAGCAGTTCAGTAGCTCTTCCCATTCACCCAGGTAAGAGGCCTTTATTTCATAAAGATAAGTGGGAGGAGTTTAGATATGAAAACAAAACGTAAACACCGCACTGGAGCTATTGTGGAAACAAAACAAGACTGTCCATGGTTCCCCAGCCATTATTATCTCAGCCATACCCCGAATTTCAAAATAACAAAAACAAAACTAAAGCCATCCAGGGGTTTCTTATCCTAGGCTCTATAATTTGGGGAAATAATTATACAGTCTAATGTTTTCATCCAAAGCCAATCTTAGACATAAAGCTGTAGCATGATGCCAACTTTTCAGATCGGCTTCTGGCTGGAATTTCACCCCTAGAGTAACAAAAAATAAATAATAGACCATTAGAGCTGGAACAGACTGAGAGGTCATCTAGCCAGAACATTCTGTAACTAAAGCATAGAAACATGAAGCAGTTTGCCCAACATAACACAGACTGTTCATGGCACAAGGGGGATTACAGACCAGGTTTTTCTAGTCCTTTCCTGGTGACCTGGGCATGCCACCACCCTCCCCACTGCTCCCAACCTGATAAGCACATATATACCCGGTGAATTCATGTCTCACAATTAGAGTCCTATGACATAGTGTCTGCAGGCTTTGGCTGATGTTCCCAGGGTTCCCTACTAGGAAGCAAAAAGCACCTTAAACTATTTCATCTTATTTCATCTCCTGCCCCTCCTCTCACGTCCTTCTCGAGACTTTTGCAAAGGCAAAGCCAGAAGCTCCAGCAGCACCAGGGGATATTTTCCTCTTCCTCTGCCTTCTTCTGTCTTCTTATCTGAAGAAGTTTCTCTTTCCCGAGGCCTAGTCCTCTACTGCTGCCTCTACTCCCTCTTCTGCAGAAATCCTGCTCTCAGCCAGTGTTTGTATCTCCCCAGGTGCTGGGTGACAGCTCCAGCCTCCTAACTGACATCCCTGTCTTCAGACTTAGAGCTCTTAGAATCGTGACTCTCAGCTCTGGCTGCATATTAGAATCATTCAGGGACATTGTGTATGTGTGTATGTATGTGTATGTATGTATGAATGTGTGTGTATGTGTGTGTGTGTATGTATGTGTATGTGTGTATGTATGTATGTATGTATGACAGAGTCTCACTCTGTTGCCCAGGTTGGAGAGCAATGGCACCATCTCAGTTCACTGCAACCTCCGTCTCCTGGATTCAAGCGATTCTCCTGCCTCAGTCTCCCAAGTAGCTGGGGTTATAGGTGCATGCCACCATGACCAGCTAATTTTTGTATTTTTAGTAGAGACAAGGTTTCGCCATGTTGGCCAGGCCAGGCTGGTCTTTAACTCCTGACCTCAGGAGATCCACCCACCTCGGCCTCCCAAAGTGCTGGGATTATAGGTGTGAGCCACAATGCTTGGCCATCCAGGGACTTTTAAAACAATTAGTGCCTACAGCCACTTTGGAAAATTCTTTGGTATATTTAATAATGCTGAACACATGTATTTCCTGTGATCCAAGGATTTCACTCCTAGGTATATCCCCAAAAGAAAGGTATATATGTGTCTACCAAAAGATACACACAAAAATATTCACAGCAGCACTATTTATAAATAGCCCCAAACTAGAAACTCCCCAAATGTCCACTGACAGTAGGATGGGTGAGTAAACTGTGGCACATTCATACTAAGGAATACCATACAGGTCTGACCGCATCTGTGGCTTTAAACAAAAATCAAGCAGGGTGATGTGACACAGAGTAATGGCTGGGAAGAGGGAGGCCTCACTGAAGAAGTGACAGCTGAACAAACTTCAACAACATACAATAATATCTATAAAGTTCAAAAGCAAGCAGCTTGGCATATGGGGTTAGACGTCAGCATGATGGTGTAGAGACTCACTGGGGGATGAATAGTCCTGGAAGAAGGTGGAAAGGGGCTTTTGAGGACTATAATAGTCTGTTGCCTGACTGGATGCTGGTATGTTCATTTTATCGAAACTTATCTGTTGCTCACTTATGATTTGTACTCGTTTCTATGTGTATGTTAGCTTCAATTAAAAGTTTACTTGAGGCCGGGTACAGTGGCTCACACCTGTAATCCCAGCACTTTGGGAGGCCGAGGCAGGCAGATCCCCTGAGGTCAGGAGTTCAATACCAGCCTAGCCAACATGGTGAAACCCCATCTCTACTAAAAATACAAAATTAGCCAAGCGTGGTGGCACGTGCCTATAATTCCAGCTACTTGGGAGGCTGAGACAGGAAAATCGCTTGAAACCAGGAGGCAGGGGTTGCAGTGAGCCAAGATTGCATCATTGCACTCCAGCCTGGGTGACAAGAGTAAAACTCTGTCTCAAATTTAAAAAAAAAAAAAAAAAAAGTTTACTTGAAAAACAATATCAGTGCCTGACCGGGCTTATCCCCAGAGAGTCTGACTTAATTGGTCTGGAGTGCGAGCTGGATTCGGTACTTTGTGAAAGCTCCTGAGATTATTTTAATGTGCAGGGTTTATGAACCGCTGCCTTAGATCTGGTCCCCACAGAGAAATCAAGTAATCTGTATAAAAGAAAACCTGACCCAGTCACTCCCCTGCTTTCAAACTTCCAAAGCCTCCCACCTCTGAAGGAGGCAGGCCAGGCCCCATAGCACAGCACACTAGGCCTCTGGGACTTGGCCTGGTTCACCTGATTAACCTCTCTGGCTACCATTTCCACCAGCGTCTGCCTCGCATGTTACAGTCTAGTGACTCCAGCAGCGTCCTGCACCACCTGTGGTGTTACACACCTCTGCTAACTCTTGCTCTCCTCCTTCTCCTGGATTGCCCTTCTCACCTCCTTGCCCACTCCACCACTCAACTCAGGTGCCACCTCCTGCAGGAAGCTACCTCTGAATCTCCAGGACAGGCCAGTGGCCCACCCAGGTCCATTACACCCTGCCCAGTCCTGTCATTTGCTACGTGGTTGGTAGCCACAGTGCCTGGCTTAGGAAAGACTGGTTCTAGGAAAAACAATTTCATTCCCTGTGGCCAGCTCCAAGCCTTCCCCCGCCAAGCTTCTCCATTCAGGTCTCTGTGAATTTAATTAATTCATCCATCCATCAAACAAGTATTTACTGAGCACTAATATGTGCTAGGTACTGCTCCAGGTGCTGAGGACTCAGCAGTGAAAAGATGACTGCTACTCTCATGGGACATACAGGATAGTAGGGAAAAGACAGATAATCAACAAGGTCATTTCTGACCACATCTGTGGTTTAAGAAAAAGTCAAGCAGAGTGATGTGATACAGAGTAATGGTGGGGGAGAGGGAGGCCTCCCTGAAGAAGTGACAGTGAATTGAGAAGCGCATGTCAAGGGGTTGCCAGGCAGAGGAAATAGGACCCACATGGGCCTAGAGTCAGGAATGAGCTTGAAGTGTCTGAGGAACTTAAAGGCCAATGTGACCAGAGGGAAGTGAACAAGGTGAAAAAGTTGGGCAGGGGCCAGGTCCCTAGATGCTTCTAAGCAGTAGAGTGATATGCTCTGGCTTACCCCTGGGTCCGTGTACCCTGGACTGGAAGAAAGCAAGGGTGGACCTGGAAAGACCACTAGGAGGCTGCTGTTGATGGGTGAGAGAGGAAGGGGGCTGAGAGTAGGGTCAGGGCAGAGGAGGAGAGACGCTGTCGTGGGCTGGCGGATGGATGATGGGGAAGAGGAACAAAGGATGACTTTTTGGTTTGGGGTCTAAGAAACTGGGTGGATGATTGAGCAGGTAGAGAAAAAATCAGCGTGGGAGGAAAAAAAATCAAGACTTCTGTTTTGGACATGGTGCAAACTGCCTTCCAGACATCCACATAGAGGTATCAGGATACAGAAGTTTGGAACTCACAGAGGAAGTCAAGGCTGGAGATTGAAAAAAAAAAAAAAAAAAAAAAAAGTGGGGTTATTAGCATAGAGGGCCAATATGGTGAAACCCTGTCTCTACTGAAAATACAAAAATTATCCAGGCGTGGTGGCATGCACCTGTAATCCCAGCTACTCAGGGAGGCTGAGGCAGGAGAATTGCTTGAACCCAGAGATGGGGTGGAGGTTGCAGTAAGCTGAGATCGTGCCATTGCACTCCAGCCTGGGTGACAGGGCAAGATTCCATCTAAAAAAAAAAAAAAAGCCACTACAGGATCAACTAAGAGCTCCTAGAGAAAGAATAGGTAGGTAGAAAAGAGTGTAAGGCCAACTACCTAGCCCTGGGCATTCATTCCAGCTTTCAACTCCAGTGAGAGATGAGAAGGAGAGTGTGGAGGTAGATGGGAAATGAGAAACAATGCTGTGTCCAGAGAGCTAAGAGAAGTCAGTGTTTCAAGAGAGACAGAGCTGTCAACTTTGATGGATGCTTCTGAGAAGCCAAGCAAGTTGAAGACAAAAAAAAAAAAAAATGATCTTTGGCTCTGCCCATATGGCGATCGTTGGTGGCCAGGGCCAGAGCTTCCATCCAGCGATGGAGACTGCAGACTGGCTGGAGCGAGCAGCAGAGAGAAGGAGAGATTAGGAAGTGCTGCCAGCACCTATAGACAGCTCTTCCCAGAAGTTATGAGAAGTAACAGCCACGGTCACTGGAGGGGACATGGATCAAAGAAAGGGCAGGTGAAGGAGGGGAGATGTCGGAGCAGGTTGTGTACTGACGAGAAGGAACCAGTAGAAAGGGAGAAACTGATGCACTCATCAAACCCTTGTAATCACGATCATCTTCTGTGTGAATTAGTTCTGGGTTCCTGGAATAGCATCGGGAATCAGCCGCGCTGACCTTTAGCATTTATTCTGTCACTGTTACGATAGACTTGAGTTTCCTCAGTTCTTAAGAAAGTGGAAATAATACTACCTTATGTATGTAAGCCACCCCAATCACACGTGCTTTCATGCCATCTTCTCATTTGATGCTCACAACAAACCAAGGTGTCAGGACAGGATGTCATGCCTGTCCCTAACCTCAGAGAAGTAGCCAGCCCAGCACTGCACAGCTCGTTACCAGCAGAGCCTGGATCCCAGCCATCTGCCCATCGTGCTCAGTCTAGTCACCCTAGCATCTCTCCCAGGAACAGAACTGCCCTCCCTCCTCCAATTGTGTTACTAAGGAACGGGTGTAAAAGGCCTTCAGACAACAGAAAGTGAGATCATGGGCCAGGTGTGGTCATGAGCTCAGATAGTGAACTTTCACCTCCCTCCCTGGCAATACCCTGTGGTCAGGAGCAGGCAGATTACACAAAGAGTGGAGGCTAGACGTTCCAAACAGACTCTGAATAGGTGACAGTGCCAGGGGCTCATTCTTCTCAGTGCTGGCCACAGGTTGGGCCTGGCTGCTGGCTAAAAGGTGCCGGGGAGGGGGATACAGCAGCTCCCAGCTCATCCTCAGAGGGTCCTGGGATCAAAGGTATTTACACCCAGGGATATTTCAGATAAATCTTTTCATCTATGTGGAAAACATACAAAGTGGCGCAAGTGAGAAACTCCGATTTCCTAAGGTTGACAAGTCAAGTGCAGTAATGATGTCATGGTAACCAATATGTTTCCAAACTTTCCTAAGGTTGACTAGCCCCATGCACTTTGAGAAGTTGGTAAATAGGATTGTCGTCGTTTTATAAAATTGAAAACACGGTGTCTTGCAATCACAGCCACTCACAAAGGAAGCCAGAGATGGTCCCAGCCCCTCCGCAGACTTCCTGTGGACTCAGGACTGGTGGTCTCTCCTGGGCCTTGCTGTACCCGGCAAATCCAGGGGCACAGACTCAGGGTTCTGCCCTGCCGACAGATGCTGCCTAGCCTTCTGTGTGTCATAAGTCAACTCCCGCTCAGCCCCAGGCTGCTGGGTCCCTGCTGTGGGCCAAAAACCAGCCACTTCGCTGGTTTCTATCCCCCACCCCGTTCCCGAGGGAGGGGCTCTGGTGTGAGACACCCCCTCAGAGAGGAAAGTGTCTCCCAGCTTTGGAGAGAATCGAGGTGTCCTTTCTCTCTCTCCAGCTGGAACCAGTGGGCCGCAAGACTACCTCCAACAACTTCACCCACAGCCGAGCCAAACTCAAGTGCCCCTCTCCTGTGAGTAAACGTCCTGCCTGCCCCAGGTGGAACAGATGCCTGGGGTGGGGGTTGTCCTGTCCCCTGGAAGCACAGAGGAGTCCCCGGGGATGCTCCCTCAAATGCGGCTTCACTCACTGCCGTCTTCTCAAATCCCACCTGTCCCCAGTGCCACGGAAACTTCTCAGTGTGTGGGCAGCCATGGAGGGAGGGGAGAGGACGTTCAACAGCTCCAACCGAAGGGAGGACAGTCGCTCAGGGAGGCAGATGAGCACTGGCGGGTGTCTCGGGTCACCCATTCCTTCCGAAAGCTCTGATGCATCCTCAGTCTTAAAAGTGCACCAAGGCCAGGCGTGGTGGCTCACGCCTATAATCCCAGCACTTTGGGAGGCCGAGGCGGTCAGATCACCTGAGGTCTGGAGTACAAGACCAGCCTGGCCAACATAGTGAAACCCCGTCTCTAGTAAAAATCCAAAAGTCAGCCGGGCATGGTGGCGGGCGCCTGTCATCCCAGCTACTCAGGAGGCTGAGGCAGGAGAATCACTTGAACCCGGGAGGCAGAGGTTGCAGTGAGCTGAGGTCATGCCACTGCACTCCAGACTGAGTGACAGAGTGAGACTGTCTCAAAAATAAAGTGCATCAAGCAGCTGTCCCGTGCCAGGCAGTATACTAGGATCTGGGGATCGGGAGGCAAAGATAAAATAGACTCAGTGTCTGTTCCTGGAGCCTGCAATGGTCTTCCTCCCTCGCCACACCCACTGCCCTTGCCTGGCCCACCTTCGAAGCCTGTGACTTGTCTCCCCAGCTCTCCTCTCCCTCTTCTCCATCCACCCTACACTTGCTGCCAGACACAGATAGACCTTCCTGGAAATAACTTGCCCCATCAAGGCTGCTTGAAATCCTTGCCTGATCCCTACTGCCCATTGACCAGAGTCTGGAGGGAGGGTCACCTCCCTCCATGATACACACTGCACTCCTGGCCGGTGGATCCATCTCCCAGGAAGCCCCACGACTGCCCGCATCCAGGCCTTTCCTTTTGCCATCTGTTCCTGGAGGTTCATCTTCCATCTGCTATGAGAACATCCGCCTCCCTCCAGGTCCAGATGTTGCCTTTACTAAGCGATGGTTTCACCGTCTCTTACCTACCATTCCTGTCTCCAGACACTGACCCATGTGGGTCTCCTTTTCTATTTGTACCTCTCATGAGACACCGACCCAGTCTCCTTTATGATGTGATTGTTTCTGCACATCTCAACTTCCTCCTGGGCCACAAGAAAAGATGTCACATCTTAACCCTCCAGTCTCATCACAGCTTCCAGCAAGGGGGCTAAACACAGCACGTGCCCAATTCACATTCACTGAGAGGAGAGTGGAGAGGGGCATAGGAAGGCAAGAACGCACACGATCTGCCCACATGCCTCCCCTCCCGGCCCTTCTGATTTGGGGATCTTTCATCTACTACAAAACCAGCTGTCCTTCCATGCTGCCCTTCCCTGATTTCTGGGTAGTCCTGGGATGGGAGAATGGGGACAGTTGTGACCACGAGGAAGCAGAGGTGGGAGTTCTACAGGCCCCACAGGGCTCTCTGCCATTGGTCACCTATCAGTTCCCAATCTTTCAAAATCAGGTTTGATGGCCAAGGAAACGCTGGTGAGAAACCAAAAGAAGGTTCTAGCTGGGTGTTGACCTCTTTAGAGGCCCATCCCGCTAAAGAGGGTTTGGGCACAGCCTAAATGAGGGAGCTTTACAAAAGGGAAGCTCTGTGAAAACGTGCAGGGTTATCGCAGCATCTCAGGAATGGGGACTAGGCAAGTCTTGGCTTGGTGATGGATGGTTCACGGAGATCCTTTCCACTGACCCCCGCTCCTCCTCCACAGGAGAGCCCTTACCTCTACACCCTGCGGAACAGCCGATTGCTCCCAGACCAGGCTGAAGAAGCCCCCGAGGTGCTCTACTGGGCTGTCCCAGTGGCAGCGGGAGTCGGCCTTGTGGTGGGCATCATCGGGACAGTGGTCTGGAGGTGCAGGAGAGGTGGCCGGAGGGAAGATCCTCCAATGAGCCTGCGCACTGTGGCCCTCTAGGCCCGGGGGTGGGTCCTCACCCTAAACTCCCTATAGCCACTCTCTTCACCGCCCTCTGCCCCAGCCACTCCCGGCCACCAGGACATGCTTCAATGCCTGGTGCCATAGGAAGCCCAGGGGACAGTCACAACTTCTTGGGGCCTGGGCTTCTTCCAGGCCTATGCTCCTGGAATGGATACATTTAAATAAAGTCCAAAGCTATTTTATTCCTGGGTTTGCCTGCGTGAAGCACTCACCTTCCATCTCTTGTGCAGCCCAGGTGTGGGAGCTGCCACTTTTTGTGGCCTGCCTCCAGCAGGGCTGCCCAAGCCACGACCAACCAGAGCCCAAACTGCCTGCCACCACGAGCATATCCTCAAGTCACCAAACCCACTATTTCAAAGGCAGAAAAAATGCTGGTCACCAGGTGGTGGCTGGAATTTTGGAGCTGGCTGGTTGCCATTCAGTCCAATCCAACACATACCTATTAAGCAACTGTTTTGTATCCAGGACAATGCGAAGCACTGAGGTGCCTCCTAGGCTGTGCATGTCGCAGCCTGGCAGAGAGGTCAAACTCCTTCAATAACCAAGAAGCCACGTGATGATGTGTAACTACTAGGGCATCAGTAGGTAAATGTGTCTGATTGTTTTAAAGAATAGAAAGGGTTCTTCGGGGAAAGTTTCTTGGGGGAGAGCAACCTTCACATGTCATTTTGGGAAAAGGAATAAAAAATGATTGGGACACAAATACCTCCTATATTCTCAACCTGATTTTCTCAAGGTGCTAAATTTAGGAAAAAATTCCTATTTCTATATGCCCAGGTTTCTGAGGGAAAACTAGAGAGAGTCTGAAAATATGGGCTGCATTCACTGAGCCCCTGCTAGGGGCGAGGCCCCGTGCTGGAGGCCTTCCACAGATGGTCTCTTTTATGCTGCACAAAAGCCCAGGGAGGGGGTAAAGGGAAAATCTTTGAAAATAGAAGTGATGCTTGCGCAACACCGTGAATGTACTAAACGCCGCAAATTGTTCCATTTAAAATGATTAATTGTGTATCATGTGAATTTCACTTCAATAAAAAAGAATCCAGGGAGGTAGACATCATCTGCATTGTAAACCTCTCTCTGATCCTGAAGTCCGGGATGATAAAGAGCCTGAGTCACAATCCCGGATGCAACACTGAAATGCTGTGCCCTGAAGCTGCCTTCGCCAGCCTGAGCCCAGTGTCCCAGGCTCTGCATCTGTAAAAACTGGAGTAAGAGTACACATTTTGCTTATCTCACGGCGCTGCTGAAAAATAAGGAACCGTGTGTGAACCTCTAACTCTAAAATGCTGCACAACTGAAAATGGCCTTTTTCCTCGGTGAAGAGTTGGGATAAGGCCCAGACTGTTGGGGAAGATGTGAGACCCAGAGATGAGTTTGGGGAAATGGGGTAATAACATATGGGTGGAGAGTGCCCGCCTTCCTCTCAGGGAGGTTCATCACCTTATCTCTTTCTGTCACAACAGAGAACCCGGAGGACCTATACCCAGTTCCGTGTTCTTCTGGGCTTCAGTGTCTGTTTCTATACAATGGGAACAGCATGCATTCCCCTGCTTTTTCCTATAGACTGGAAAACGTGGTGACCAAGTCACACATCCCAGCTTATGCTCCCGGCTTAAGACAGTGTAACGACAAAGGTAACCCTTACACTCCTGGTTTGAGACAGTATAACGACAAAGGTAACATAGGAAGTCAAGGAGTTCGCTTCACCGCCCCTCCCCCCACCCCACCCTTTTTTTTTCCTGCAAGTTTCTATTCTTCCCGCAGCTCCTACCTCAAAGCAGCATGGATTCATAACCACAGGCTCCCCTCATTAGGGCTTGGGGAGGGAGGGTGTTGGAATCCACACTGCCAGAGTAATCCAGACTAAAACATCAACAAATGGTCCCAGCTGGTTCACCAAGGAACACTTGGCAAAACAAAGAAATCCTGTCTGGAGCGACACGGACACAGCCACAAACCAGTCACCAAATTCCCAGCAAGTATGTGCTAAGAAGCCAAAAATTAAAAATACGTGAGAAGCACCCACTTGAAATTGGTGGTATTACATACATACACTGGCTGTGCGCCATGGGGTTTTTCTGTAGGAAAATGTCCAGTCTAGCTAGAACGGCACCCACAGCCACACCATGAGCAAAGCCACCAAATACCTGAGGAAGCCACAGTCCATGGCACTCCCCATGGAGGCTTCTGAATTCAGAAAAGATAGATTCCTGTGACTTAAACCTGGTCCAAGTCTTCCTAAAGGACATGGAACTTTGAGCTCTGAAAAGATGGAGAATGGTTACCAAAAGCAATGAGGTTGTCGAGACTGGGAAAACTCCATGCAGATGGAGAGATGAGCATGGTGAATATGGGGACCAGGAAAAATGAGGATGGATGAGCCAGATATGGGTTAGAGGACATGATGGAAAGGATGAGGAGTTGATAGCGATTACATTGTTGTGATGGTTGTAACATCAGGCTACACTTGACTAGGGAATATAAATGTTAGTGAGAAAAGATTTGCACAAAGAAAATGCTAATAAAAGTTGACATAAAGTGCTTGTGCTGTGGTGGGCACCATGGGGCACAATAATGAAACTTCACACATCCCTATTACCATTCCCTTTCTACAGAGAAGGAAACCAAGACTCAGGGAAGAAGTAACTGGCCCAGAGTTATACTTTGATTACATAATGCGACATTTGTCCAAATGAATACTGGAGCCCAGAGTAGGGGGGGTAACCCAGAAAAATAAAACCGCCACTGGTTCCAGCAGTGAATTGGGCCAAATTGCAAATAAATGTGGTATAAAATAAAGATCTAGAATGTCTGATGGCACCATTGTTCCTCTGCTTTCAACTGGTCTGAAAAACTCAACTATCTCTAGTTAATAATCTATGATTTTTTTTTTTTTTTTTTGAGATGGAGTCTCGCTCTGTAGCCCAGACTGGAGTGCAGTGGTACGATCTCGGCTCACCGCAACCTCTGCCTCCCGGGTTCAAGCGATTCTCCTGCCTCAGCCTCCTGAGTAGCTGGGATTACAGGCATGCGCCACCTTGCCCAGCTAATTTTTCTATTTTTAGTAGATACAGCGTTTTGCCATGTTGGCCAGGCTGGTCTCAAACTCCTCACCTCAGGTGATCCGCCCACCTTGGCCTTCCAAAGTGCTAGGATTACAGGGGTGATCCACCGTGCCCAGCAATAATCTATGATTTAAAACATTATGGGGACTAAGATTTCTTTTGCTAGTGTATGTGTGACATTATAGCACAAGCTTGTCCAACCCACAGCCCGCATGCGTCCCAGGATGGTTTTGAATGCCACCCAACACAAATTTGTAAATTTTCTTAAAACATTATGAGATTTGTGTGTGTGTGTGTGTGTGTGATTTTCTTTTTTAGCTCATCCCCTATCTTTAGTGTTAGTTAGTTTAGTGTTAGTGTATTTTATGTGTGGCCCAAGACAATTCTTCCAATGTGTCCCAGAAAAGCCAAAAGATTGAATACCCTTGTTCTAGCAGCTAATAAATCATTTAATTAGGAAAAACAATCCCTGTGAGAATCAAATGTAACAACTAGCAAGATTAGATCCACATATTTTATATAACAGCAGCACTGAAAAAAAGACTATGTATGTTTAGAAAGATAAAAGACAAAAGGAATTTAAAACATGAGGCAAGAACACCATGTTATTTTTTAAAAATAAAGGCAGATTTGTGAAAGAACTAAGAACCAGATAAAACTTCCAGAAATGAAATACATTGTTATTAGAGAAAAATAAACTTCAGTAAATGTGTTCAAATAGCAGGCTGGGCCCTTAGTGAACCAACATTTGTGTGTTTACTGTATACCCGGTACTGTTTTTAGCAGTAAGTCTGTATTTTTTATTAATTCTCACAATAGCCCCTTGAAGTAGGTGCTATTATAATCCTTACAGAGAAAATGAAGCATGTCCTGTATCTTTTCAGTCTTTTTGTAAGAATTAAATGAGATAAAAACAATACTCAAAAAATAGGTATTCAATAATTAGCTCTCTCTCTCTCTCTCCTTTCTATATCAGTATTAATTCCAATACAATATGATTCAGGGGCTTTGTAAAATAATCGCAATAATTAAAATATACTTGGCACCTTACAGTTTACAAAACATTTTAATATGTTCTCATTTGATCCATACCACAAACTTGTAAGATAAGCAAAGTACAGTACAGTGGTTCCCCCGCTTATTAGTGGGTGATACATTCTTTTGTTTTTTCTTTTTTGAGACAGAGTCTCGCTCTGTTGCCCAGGCTGGAGCGCAGTGGCACAATCTCAGTTCACTGTAGTCTCCACCTCCCAGGCTCAAGCGATCCTCCTGCCTCAGCCTCCCAAGGAGTTGAGACTACAGGCGCACACCACCACGCCTGGCTAATTTTTCTATTTTTTGTAGAGACAGGGTTTCAACATGCTGCCCAAGCTGGTTTTGAACTCCTGAGTTCAGGTGATCCACCAGCCTTCGCGTCCCAAAGTGCTGGGATTATAGGTGTAACAGGCCACCATGGCTGGCCTATTAGGGGATACATTCTAAGAATCCCGTGGCTCAGTGGATGCCTGAAACCATGGATAGTGGTGAACCCTATATATACTATGCTTTTTCCTATACATTCATACCTATGATAAGGTTTAATTTGTAACTTAAAGTGAGATGAACAACAATAAAAGAATTATGATATACAATAAAAATTATGTGAATGTGGTCTGTCTTGCCTACTCACCCTTCTTGTTTTGATGTTGGTGTGAGATGGTACCATGACTACGGGATGAGATGAAGTGAGGGGAATGAGGTTAGGCTACTATTGACTTTCTGACCTTGAGGAACTGAAACCACAGAAAGCAAAATCGTGGATAAGGAGGGGCGACTATATCATTAAGAAAATGTACCTCAAACTTAGAAATAAGTGACCACATGTCCTGTCAATGTTATTTAACAATATTCTAAGAAATATTTAGTTATCTAGACCGTACCTATGTTTGACTTTGTCATTTATTACTATTTAATTAGAGCTTAACGCTACGAAATTATGTTGACTTGTGGATTTCTGACCGGCAAAAAAGATAACCTCAAGGTTATGGTTTTATGCCCCTATAGCACATTATCCAGTTTTGTGTCTATTAGCAAAAGCATTTCAGCTTGCCAGGGCTTAGCAAAAGCATGACACTCAATTGTTCCACTACCACCACTCCCATCTTCGTGCAATGCTCAGAAGACACTGAACAAGTCACTCTAAGCTCAATCCACTGTTCTGGCAACTGGCACTGTGACATAGCAAGGGCCTGTCTGCTGTCTTGGAGAGGCCTAGAGTCTACTACTATTGGACCCTGGCTACGTCACCCAGCAAGAAGTATGCTGCTGTCAGAACAATTTCAAACAGTGCTCAGGGGAGTAGACACAGAAAAGGAAGTGAGGAGGATGAAAAGGAGAGGAAATTAAGGAATCCCCTAAATATTCCCATGTTTTAGTCATTTGAATTTTATTTTTATGATCAATTAAGATCTGAAATACAATCAACCTCAATGACTGAAGAATCCGCACTCCCCAGGGAGTAGGGGATAAGATGGGAGTGAGAAAAGGATTCTAATCCTGAGTAGTTAGGAATGACCCTATTTCTTCAACTGTAACAAAATGGGATAAAAGGCTGTCTGTGGATTAAATGAGAAAGTGTGTGAAAGGGTCTGGCATAGAGCAGGTGCTTGATAAGTGAAGCTGTGGTTATTCTCATTCCTCGTGTGCAAGCCTGGGCTGGAAGTGTGTCCATTAGACCTGCCAACCCCCGCCCCTCCCCACCATGCTCCACCACACATCACCCACCCTGGTTCTCCAGATATTTTCATCCAAAGCCTGGAAGAAAAGTATTGGCCTTATGCTACTGCCTACAGGGAGGTCCCTCTGTTGAGTGGAACAACTAAGGCTGCAACTGTGGATCCCACACTCCAGGGTGGGCACAGCACCCACACAGCCTGCCTTTGACTGCTCTTTTGAGCATTGTTAAAAATTCTATTCTGAGTTGTCTGTCTTCACTAATGTCCCAAAAAGCCAATGAAAGCACCTGATGGTACAGCCTCCAAGTGCGAGCATCTTGGGTGGGCCCTCAACTTCAGGAACATCTCAGCATCCAGGAAGACAGGAAGGGCAGGCTCCCAACCACCCCCCAAGCCCCAAATCACCCTGGGAGGCAAATGCCTTCTCTGCCACTTCTGCCAGGGGACTTTGTAACACAAATATTCAGTCTGGTCTGAGGTTAAATTCATTTCTAGACTTGATTTCAAACGTGGCAATGGGCCTGAGGTCTGCTACCAGCTGAAGCAAGTCCCCCAAGCCAGCCCCTGTCAGGACTACCCCATCCTGACCCAGACCGAGGACCGGTGGTGGAATTTGTGGGGTCTAGTGCGAAGTTAAAATATAGGGCCCCTTGTTGAAAAATGATTAATTTTAAGACAGCAACAGCAGAGCATTAAACCAAGCATGAGGCCCTTCTGAATATGAGTCCCTGTGTGACTCATGGGTCACACACCCACAACGCTGGCCCTGCCTAAACCCTTTGATTCTCTGTGCTCTTCAAAAGCTGGAGTGACAGGCCATGACAGCACCTCTGTCCTCTCTCTGTGGGCAGAAAAAGGGAGGAGGCCAAGAGGTCTCAACCACCTAGAGAGGAAGGTGGTATGGCCCCATGGCAGAGGCCAGGATGCCTGCAGGGCAACTTGGTTTTTTCCACTTGCTGGGAAAACTGCTCAGAGCATGTTTCCTGTGACCAGAGGATCGATGATAACGTCATTATATATGGAGGCTCAATTACGACCTTTCTTTTCCGGTTCTAATTCTGCAACTCATTTTACACAGCAGGGCACATGATCAGGATTCTCTTTGGGTCTGAAATCCCCTAGGGAGACAAACACAATTTCCCAAATTGTCCCCAGGGCAGCCTTCCTTCCAGAATGCACCACAGGTGCCTGTGAAATCAACCCCACTGGCATCCTAAGGCTGATTTCTACCTCACAAGGCTGGTGCGAGAATTTGGGGTGGTCATGAGTGTAGAGCCCAGAGCACTGCCTGACTCATAATCAGCCCTCAATAAGTTTAGATATTATTAGCGTTAGTCATACATGCCTCTTCCATTTTCATATTTTTGATTGCTTTTGTTGTTCTGCCAAATGATTTATTCAGTATTTCCCCCACCCCAAATTGATATTTCTGTTGTTCCTATGCCAGGAATACCTTTTCCCCTATACATCTCCATTCCTTCCGTCAGCCACTCAGCCAACACGGCTGAGCCTCCTGATGTGTCCCGTGCAGGCCATGAGGAAACCTGGATGAGGAAGGCACGGAACTGCCTCCAAGCTTTCACAGTCTGCTGCAGGGATCACCACTTTGACAATGTACCTGCACCCACAAAAAATATTAGCACATGCACATCAACATAGAGACTTATTTATAAGTTTTAGACACAGTTGTCCCTCCATACCCATGGGGATTCATTCTAGGATCCTCTGTGGGTACCAAAATTCACAGCTGCTCAAGTCCCTGATGTAAAATAGCATAGTATTTGCATATAACCTATGCACATCATCCTGTATACTTTTTTTTCTTTTTTGAGATGGAGTCTTCACTCTTGTCGCCTAGGCTAGAGTGCAATGGCACAACCTCAGCTCCCAGGTTCAACCAATTCTCCTGCCTCAGCCTCCTGAGTAGCTGGGATTTACTGGGATTACAGGCGCACAGCACCACACCTGGCTAATTTTTGTAGTTTTAGTAGAGATGGGTTTAACCATGTTGGCCAGGCTGGTCTCGAACTCCTGACCTCAAGTGAAACACCTGCCTCAGCCTCCCAAAGTGCTAGGATTACAGGTATGAGCCACTGCACCTGGCCTCCTATATACTTTAAATCACCTCTAGATTACTTATAATACCCAATACAATATGTTATGTAAATGTTGTTATACTGTATTGTTTAGAAAATAATGACAAGGAAAAAGTCTCTTCATGTTCAGTACAGACACAATTTCTTTTCCAAATATTTTCAATTCAAGACTGATTGAATCTACAGATGCAGAACCCATAAATATGGAGGGTTCACTGTATATAGGTATTACTACATACACATATAATTTACATACTATATAAATGACAAAACAGTCATCAATTAAAAATTTGTAAAGAACAAGATTAAGATGAAGTAAGCATTTTGCTCTTGCTAAAACAGTAATATGTTAAGGGCAAGTATTTTGACTGAATGTTTCACTATTTTTAAAATCTTGATTTAAAACATCGTTAGTTTTACTTGTAAGATTAGTTCTACTTGTGAGGTTCCTTACAAAGATGGGTAACTCCAAATGGAAGATGCCTCTTGTTGGTTGTATTAAATGAATAATGATTCTCATTCAACTATAGAAAGATTTCTGTTAAAATGTCACCAATAAACTACCCTTCTCCCTGATGTCAATCTTTTTTCCCCTCCGCCAAGACGGAGTCTTGCTCTGTCACCCAGGCTGGAGTGCAGTGGTGCAACCTCTGCTCACTGCAACCTCTGCCTCCTGGGTTCAAGCGATTCTCCTGCCTCAGCCTCCCAAGTACCTGGGATTACAGGCACACACCACCACACCCGGCTAATTTTTTGTATTTTTAGTAGTGACAAGGTGTCACCATACTAGCCAGGCTGGTCTCAAACTCCTGACCTCGTGATCCACCTGCCTCAGCCTCCCAAAGTGTTAGGATTACAGGCATGAGCCACCACGCCTGGCTTATGTCAATCATTTTTAAGGAGGATGGCAACATAATTGAAAGGTGTTCTTTTTATTTAATTTATTTTAATAGTTATATTTTGGGGGTGGGTTTTTTTTTATTTGTATTCTTTCTCTGGAAGAGAAGCTGTTCCATTTTTTGCAAATGAGTTCAAACCCCACTGATACTCTTGATTTTGAAATTTTTAGAGAGAGTTTAAAAAGTCTACTTCCAGACTTTTTTAATGTACATAGATACGAGACATGATATACTTGGAGCTCATTTTTAGCTATAGCATCACTTAATAGTGGCAACATTTCCAAACATTCATTTTCAAAAGTCAACTTTCCCCTGACCTTTTAAAGAAATTACCACGTCCCACACTGCATGTTTCTTTCAAAAAACAATTATTTCCTCTCCTTTTACTATGCAGTCAGTTTATTTTTTCTAAAACGTTAGGTAATATATTACTGACAACCAATTGTCATCACAGAACAGTTCAGCAAGTTTGAATAGTTGTCTATTGATTTAAAATGCAGAATTCACCTTCAAGCTTGACAGCTGTTAAGCACATTACCAACATACTTTTATGGTGACTCTCCATCTCATTACCAAACAAGAACTCTATACTTGTAAGTCTTGCATTTATAACAAATAGCACATTGATGGTATACTATCACAGATTGTGTACTTCTGGATTTGCTGCCACAAGTCACCAGGAAGTGATACAGTGAAAGAATTTCATTTATGGTACTATTGTATGTATTTTTACCCAGTAATCTTTTTATTCTAGTCAAAGCAGTAACTTATTAGTAAGGACACGTCCACGGTTCTTTCCAAAACATTATTTTTACTAAAGAAGTAATTTTCTGTTGAGAATATCTTCACTGGTACATTTTTCTTTCTATGGTACATATACACACACAGCAACTATGTATATTTCATAACTGAAACAATCTCATAAATAGGCTAAGACGTGTTTTTTTAAAAAATCTATATTGTACCCAGTTGCCCAAGTCTTCATAATTTGTTCTAACTCTTAGCAATGTTTTCTATCCATCTTCCAACTGTATGTGCAGAGAATTACCTATTCTTTTCGTTGTTGTGTGAGTTCCCTTGTTTTATTTTAGTCATTTATGGCACGTGGCTCTTTGCTAGTAAGAAACCAAAAAAAAAAAAGAGGCAGAAGAAAATCTGTAAATATTTATCATTAAGTTTAGTGAAGTTTTGAGAGGTGTTGAATTCAGAACACTATTATTTCAAACATTGCTTTTAAAGAGTGACCCTGGGCACAGTGGGTCACACCTGTAATCCCAGCACTTTGGGAGGCCGAGGCAGGCAGATCACCTGAGGTCAGGAGTCCGAGACCAGCCTGGCCAACATGGTGAAAGCCTATCTCTACTAGATTTACAAAAAAATTAGCCAGGCTTGGTGGTAGGCACCTGTAATCCCAGCTACTTGGGAGGCTGAGGCAGGAGAATCGTTTGAACCTGGGAGGCAGAGGTTACAGTGAGCCAAGATCACACCACTGCACTCCAGCCTGGGTGACAGAGCAGGACTCCATTTGGAAAAAAAAAAAGAAAAAGAGTGTAAAAGTTTGTCACTATGGACTGAATGCTTAGTTTTTTTGTTGTTTTTCTTTGTTTTCTGAGACAGAGTCTCACTCTGTTGCCCAGGCTGGAGTGCAGTGGTGCAATCTCGTCTCATTGTAACTTCTGCCTCCTGGGTTGAAGCGATTCTCCTGCCTCAGCCTCCCGAGTAGCTGGGACTACAGGCGCGTGCCACCACGCCTAGCTAATTTTGGTATTTTTAGTAGAGATGGGGTTTCACCAAATTGGCCAGGCTGGTCTCAGACTCCTGACCTCGTGATCCACCTGCCTTGACCTCCCAAAGTGCTGGGACTACAGGCGTGAGCCACCGTGCCCGGCCTGAATGCCTAATTTTTAAATGTCTTGCTAATCCATATGGTTTCATATCATTAGCTTATATCCAAATGTGCCACCTGCATCTGGGGGTGGGGTTATTACTAGAAGAGGTACATATAAATCCATATTTGATATAGACTTCTTGATCATTTCAATGTTGTTTCTTGTCAGATCCAATTAGATTGTCATTATTTTTATCTCACAGTGGGGCTATGAAGAGTCCTTACTGTCAAGAACTTTGCTTTAATTTATCTGACAACCTGTTGTCAGGCAGATTTCAAAATCTGGTTTTGTTACTTGCTAACTCCACAACTTTAGAGGACAATCATGACAGCACATTAGAAGTGAACAAGTGAGCAAAGGGCCCTTTCAACCCCTCTGTGCTGGCTCTACCCTGTCAACTCTCAGGAGACTGCCCATACAGTATGTGACATGTGACACATTAGTGAGGGCACTAATTCCACTAGTGATGGAATTTTATTCCATCCACGAATAAAATATTAGGAAGGCTAACTTATTTTTAGATTTAAAAAATGCATATAAGTAGAACATTTAATATTTTCTTCTTACATCCTAATGAATCATCCCACATACTCCAGATTGAAGATGCCTTCTCTACTAAAATGTTTTATGTCCCAGGAAACAATTTATCAAAGTAGCATAGTTATCATTACAATCTATCATTTTAACCCTCTCATGACCCAATGTGCTTTCCTAAATAAGAGCGGATGGCCTGAAGTTAAAAGCTGGCACCTGGACTCCAGCTTAACTGGGCATGACCAGGGGAATGTCCCATGGGGGAGGGGAAAGCACATTGGGTAGTGACCACAAATAGTTGAGAACTTCTGGGCTAGACAGAGAAACTAACACATAAACAAATGTAGTGAATGCTATCATAAAGATACATACAAGGGCCTGCATGAGACAGAATAAGGGAAAACTCAAGAAGCCTTCAGAGCAGTGGTGATAGGATAGTACCTTTGAGCCGAGTTTTAAAAGAAGGTTGGAATTTCAAGAAGAGGGAGAAAGCAGCCGGGGCACAGATTAGAGCATCTGCCTCGGCACAGAGCTATGGAGTGAATGGTGAAATGTTTGGGGAATGTCAAGATTTTCAGAGCTGATCAGAAGCAACGGGAGTGAAACTGGCTTCTATTAACCTAGCATGTGCCTGCCTGCCGTTAACATTGTGCAGTGTTTCCATAAGAGACTTAGGGATGTTTTATTTCTTCGGTGAGAAATGGTATCTCCTTCTGTTATCCTCCTTAGTACTTGCGTCTGGAAAATTGTGAAGAAACTTGAAAGCCATGTTAAAGAGTTGGACTTAGCCCAGGATGCATTTGACAGTATCTTGCAGGCAGGGGTGTGGCATGATTAGATATCTCCCACAGCATTGCTGAGGATATGGTGAAATACAGTCCAAGTTCCACTGACATCGAATCACCTGGAGAGCTTGTTAAAAACCCTGATTACTGGGCCCCATGCCAGAACTTCAGAATCTGGATTTTGTGGGGGTAGATATAGACAACAATTTGTATTTCAACAAACTCTCCAGCTAAATTTTTTCCTACATTAATCTATCACTCAACTGCTTCCTCCCCCACCCAAAACGACTCAGGCAGACATTAAAATTTGAGAACATTAAAATTGAGTTCAGGGTCCTCTGGGCTGGAAGGGCAGCCCCTCCAGGAGATGCACTCACCTTGCTCCCCCCAGCACCCTGCAAAGGAAACTTCCAGTGGGAACCTAAGCCAGGAATAATGGCCAAGCTGTTGCCTGCCCCCGCCTCCTCCTATACACCTCATGTACTGGGGACAGGCCTATGGAGGACCCAAGGAGGACACATTCTCTGCTCCCTGGAACACAACATGTTTTCAGCCATCCAGACCCGACTTCAAATAGCACCTTCTCAGCAGGATGTGGTGGCTCACCTCTGTAATCCCAGCATTTAGAGAAGCCAAGGTGGAGGACTGCTTGAGGCCAGGAGCTCAAGACAAGCCTGGGCAACATTGTGAGACCCTCTCTCTACCAAAAATATGCATATACATGTACACACAATAGCATCTTCTCCTTGATTCCTTCTCCAGCTTCTCCCAGCCAGGACCACTGCTTCCTTTCCAGCACTGCACATGAGAAATAATACTGCATATGAGAGTTTCTTCTTCCTTTTTTGGTTTTGTTTTTTTAGATGGAGTCTTGCTCTGTCGCCCAGGCTGGAGTGCAGTGGTGCAGTCTCAGCTCACTGCAAACTCTACCTCCCAGGTTCAAGTGATTCTCCTCCCTCAGCCTCCTGAGTAGCTGGGATTACAAGCATGTACCACCACACCTGGCTAATTTTTATGTTTAATTTATTTTTTATTGTTTTGAGATGGAGTGTCACTCTTATCACCCAGGCTGGAGTACAGTGATGTGATCTCGGCTTACTGCAACCTCTGCCTCCCAGGTTCAAGTGATTCTCCTGCCTCAGCCTCCTGAGTAGCTGGGATTACAGGTGCACGCCACCACGTCTGGCTAATTTTTGTACTTTTTAGTGGAGACAGGGTTTCGCCATGTTTGCCAGGCTGGTCTCGAACTCCTGACCTCAGGTGATCCACCCACCTCAGCCTCCCAAAGTGTTGGGATTACAGATGTGAGCCACCATGCCCGGCCTATTTATTTTATTTATTTATTTATTTTTGAGACAGAGTCTTGCTCTTGTCGCCCATGCTGGAGTGCAATGGCAAGATCTCAGCTCACTGCAACCTGCGCCTCCCAGGTTCAAGCAATTCTCCTACCTTAGCCTCCCAAGTATCTGGGATTACAGGCACCCATCACCACACCCGGCTAATTTGTATATTTTTAGTAGAGACAGGGTTTCATCATGTTGGCCAGGCTGGTCTCGAACTCCTGACCTTATGATCTGCCTGCCTCGGCCTCCCGAAGTGCTGGGATTACAGGTGTGAGCCACCATACCTGGCCTAATTTTTGTATTTTTAATAGAGAAGGGGTTTCACCACGTTGGCCAGGCTAGTCTCAAACTCCTGACCCCAAGTGATCTGCCCACCTTGGCCTCCCAAACGGCTGGGATTATAGGCGTGAGCCACTGAGCCCAGCCTCATATGAGATTTTCTTGTTTTGTGTGTCTTCCCTAAAACTGGGTGGGTAGGTTTTTTACTGCTGTTCTTACAGGGAAATGGTGCTATGTTTATGGACTGATTGATTGATCCCACCTTTACTTCTGGACCAATGTCCGAAACAAACTTAAATGCTTTGTTCCCTCTAAAATATTGTGGCTATAAACTAGCCAACCATGCCCACAAACAACTTTACACTTAGCTTTCCAAAGATCAAGTGATTTATGTGCGTTTTGTGCCTACAAAATCTTAAAGGAAATAGAAAGAATTGCCAAATCTCTCACCAGGTAGCTTAACAGGAGATTTCCTTTGTTCCTTGCCTGGAACAATCACCAGAATCTTATTGACATAAACTAAACATAGGCCCTTTTTGCCCTTTGCCAACTAAGGATATATTTCTAAGTCTTTTTTTCCAGTAACCACTTGAAAACAACCTAGTAGATCAGAAACCTGTTCAGCTTCCACCCTGGCAATGAATGTGGGTCTATTCATGTGACTCACACATAGTAGGTAGAAACTGAGGGAAGTGTGAAGGCTCTGAATGAGTGGAATGCACTGATGTCCTGAATGGACTAGGGCTTTGATCTCGGCATGGTGAGTCCCAGAGCCTTCCCAGATGGGGCGGGGCAGGGTATATACCTACAGCCAATGCAAGTTGGAGTTGAGAAGGTATAATACGTATAAGGCTAGAGAAAGTGGATCAAGCCACCTGCCAAGGAGCAACATGAGTGGGTAGGGGACCAGGAAAGGTGGCAGGAGTTAAGGAGATGAAGGACAGGACAGAGAGCCAGGGAGACCAAGAGGAAACACTTAGGGTTCAAGGGTGAAACCAGATCAGCACCATGAGAGGCATGTGAGTGAAGAAACCCTGAAGGGCCAGTCTGCTTTCCTTCCCAGTGAGATTATCTTCTTGGAGTTTCTGTCAAAACCCTCTCCTTTTTTACCAAGATGATGGCATATCAGGAGGGCCTAGAGTTTCCAGACAAAACATAGGACATTTAATTAAACTTGAATTTCAGATAAGCAACCATTTTTTAGTATAAGTTTGTCCTATGCAATATTTGGGACTTACTTATACTAAAAAATTGTTGTTTGTCTGAAATTGACATATAACTGGTCATCCTGTCACCCTAAATCTGCCAACCTTAGGAGGGGCAGAGTTTCCTTATCGAAGAGTATGTTTGTCATGTTTGTCTGAGAATCTCAGCCTAACAGGAAGTTCCCACCCAATGGCTGGGCACAGTGCCTCATGCCTGTAATCCCAGCACTTTGGGAGGCCAAGGAAGGAGGATCACTTGAGGCCAGGAGTTCAAGACCAGCCTGGCCAACATGGTGAAACCCTGCCTCTACCAAAAATACAAAAATTAGCTGCGCATGGTGATGCGCACCTATAGTCCCAGCTACTTGTGAGGATGAGACACGAGAATCACTTAAACCTGGGAGGCGGAGGTTGCAACGAGCTGAGATTGCACCACTACACTCCAGCCTGGATGACAAAGTGAGACTCCATCTCAAAAAAAAAAAAAAAAAAAAAACCCAGCTCAAACAGCAAGGTACAGATGTAGACAGAGTGAGACCAGGAGGAAGCAAAAGAGAAGATTTGAGGAGAGCAAGCAGGAGCATTGGGAGATTGGAGAGAGAACAGCAAATGTGGGAAAAGGGAATATCAAATGAAATTAAAGATATAGAGGAAGAGCAGAAAACTCCAAATGACATCAGCCTTACAGGGTATCAAGTTACTTGCAGAGGGAAGTAGTAAGCCCAGGCTTAGACTCCGGGCAAAGTAAGTGGACTCCTTCTCAAAGAGAAGAGGGAGCCAGAAAAATGAGCAAAGTCAAACAGGACAGCCCAAGATCAAGAAGAGAAGGGTAGGTCCAGATTCAGCACAGCTTGGAGATTAGGTAGACAAGCTCCAGAACAAGCTTGCCTGTCCCCAGTACACTGTTTTCTGGCTGTGTAATCCTGGACAAGCTATTTGACCTTTCAGTTTCTCAGCTGTCAAATGGATATTTAAAAACAGAGCCTGTTTTGTACCCTAACTCTTGCACATGTATCCCTATAGATTTGTTTTACCTTTTCTAAAATTTTCTGTAAATGGAATCAGAATAGGCACTCTTTGATGTTTGGCTTAACATTTTTGAGATTCATCCACATTGTGAGTCTTTTTCATTGTGTTTTTTGGTTGCTGAGTAGTATTCCATTGTACAGATATACCTCAGTTTATTTCGTTCACCTATTGTTAGACATTTTGGTAGTTTCCAGTGTTGGACTATTGTGAACAAAAATGCTATCAACATTGTACAGTCTTTGTGTTAGATACATGTTTCATTTCTATTAGGTACACATCTATGAATAACATTGCTAAGTCATATGACAAGAATACATTTAACTCTAAGAGAAACTGCCACACTGTTTTACAGGGTGGTTGTGACATTTTGCATACCCATCAACAGGGTATGAGGGTTCCAGTTCTCCCACATCCTCACCAACACTTGTTATAGTCTTTTTAATTTCAAGAGCACAGGATTAACAGTCAGACAGCCTTTAAATTCTAGTTCAGCCACTTGCTAACTCCATGACCATAGATAAGTCATCTGATCTTATTGAGTCCAGTTTCCTCATTTTTAAAATAACAATTTTCAAGCAAGGGAATTTTATGCAACAAGTAAAAATGAAAACTGTTCAATTAACATATCTAATTACATCCACATTATATGTATTCAGTACGTATTATATATATTCCACATATATTCAGTTCATCTCCATTCCTTTTTCTGAAGTTCTAATATAAAAGCCTCATCAAGATGTTTTTGTATAAAAACTACCTGAAATAAAATGCAGGCTGATGCTGCGGGGCTCACTGCAGTGTTGCCTAGCCTCAGATGGAGCCATTAGTTCTTCCTGCACACCTGTCCCCGGGTAGAAAGGAGAGGCACTTAACCTCCAGATCAAGGTTTTTACATTCACCTGGAACCTGGCCTCCAAGCACTGGAGAATAGGAAACTCATGCGACTTAGAGTCACAAGTAAATGTCTTAAACCTTCTGAGCACATATAAAATGGGGCTAATGATATCCCATAGGATTATTGTTGAAAAAAAAAATCAACATTTGACAAATTACAAGTGATTGTTTTTACTTCCACTAGAGAGAAAAAAACAATATACCCAGGTAGGGACCATCTTAAAACTAATCAAAGGGCAAATATATGTTCTTCTGAACTTTTGCAGCCCAGTTGCAGTGATGAGTTTTCATGAACACTGGCAGCTGAGGGGCCTTCATCCCAGCATCTCTGTTAGGCACAGGCAAGAGGAAACAGGCCAGCAGAGGCAAGGCCTAAGAGAGGCAGGAGGGATGTTCATCCCTGACAATTTTGATTCATTTGGTCTGAAGTGAGCCCCAGGAATCCACTTTTGTTAAACCAGGTCAGGTGTGGTGGCTCATGCCTGTAATCCCAGCACTTTAGGAGGCCGAGGCGGGCAGATTGCTTGAGCCTAGACATTGGAGACCAGCCTGGGTAATATGGTGAAACCCTGTATCTGTTATAAAAAATAAATAAATAAATAAACTTTTTTAAAATAAAGTGTTTTAAACAATAAGGAAATTTAAAATAAAAAATAAAACCAAGCTTCCCAACCAATTCAGGTTTGGAAAGTATAGACCAGTAGTTCTCAACACGTGTTCCTTAAGCCACTAGCGTTAGCATCCGGCAGGAATTTATGCAAACCCTAAGGTTTCATCCTAGGCCTATTCAATCAGAAGAGAAATTCTCGGGCTGAGACCCAGCAATCTGGTTTTTTTGTTTGTTTGTTTGTTTGTTTTTGGAGGCAGAGTCTTGCTGTGTCACCCAGGCTGGCATGATCTCGGCTCACTTGCAACCTCCACCTCCCGAGTTCAAGTGATTCTCCTGCCTCAGCCTCCTGAGTAGCTGGAATTACAGGCCCAAGCCAGCACGTCCAGCTAATTTTTTGTATTTTTAGTAGAGAAGGGATCTCCCCATGTTGCCCAGGCTGGTCACGAACCCCTGAGCTCAGGCAATCCACCCACCTCTGCCTCTCAAAGTGCTAGGACTGCAGGCAGGAGCCACCATGCCCGGCCCCAGCAATCTGGATTTTAAAAGCCTCTAGGCAGCCAGGCACATTGGCTCATACCTGTAATCCCAGCACTTTGGGAGGCGGAGGCGGAGGTGGGCAGATCACTTGAGGTCAGGAGTTTGAGACCAGCCTGGCCAACATGGTGGAACCTGGTCTCTAATAAAAATACAAAAACTCGCTGGGCATGATGGTGGGCGCCTGTAATCCCAGCTTCTTGGGAAGCTGAGGCAGGAGAATCACTTGAACCCAGGAGGTGGAGGTTGCAGTAAGCCGAGATCAGGCCACTGCACTCCAGCCTGGGTGACAGAGACTCTGTCTCAAAAAAAAAAAAAAAAAAAAATTGGAAGGAAACACACCAAATCAGAGGTGAAAGGGTGGACTAATTCTTAAAATCACAGTACTATTTTATTCAAGTGTCTAACCCAACCCCTTCCTCCAGGATAGTCATGGTAAGGGAAAAGGCCAGGGGTCAGGTACAGAAAGCAGATAGTGTTGCAGGTGTGACCACTGGCCCAGGAAAGGAAGGGTTGGACTGACTTTCCCAAACTGTGTTCCAGATGTTAATATGTGGACCAAGGTCAAAAAAGCTTGGAAAACCCTGCTTTCAATAGCTTTCCCTTGGAAACACACAGTGCATTTCTTTAAGATGCAGAGAAATGTTGTAATAAAGGAACCTGTTGAACTTCGCTGGGTCCAGTATTTCCCATCTTTATTGAGCACAGACCCTTCTTGACACAGAGCATCCTGCAGAGATGCTCTGTTCTGCATTCTGCATTCTACGGAGACATTCTGTTCTGCAGGATGTCAGCTTGGGAAACACAGCCTACAAAAATCATCTGTCTGGAACTTCCCTGGGCTCTCACTGCCGTCCACTGACCGGCCTGCCTTCCTCCATGGACTCGGGCCAATGTAAACACTTAAACCTAGTTCTGTTTTGGACAGGAAGCCTAGAAACAGCCTCTGCTCTATGCAAGGCTCAGTATCAGGCTCCACTCTTGGTATTCTTGGTCTCTTGCCTAGACTCCCTCTGGTTTTTTTGCCCAGTCTCTGTTTGTTGCCAGATATGAGTCCCTGACCATTTTTCCTGGAGAATTCTGAGCCTGGCTTCTTAAAACTCAGACTTTGGACCTGATCTGCTTCTTCCAGGCCTGCCGGTTGGCACACCTCTACCTGCTGCTCCCTCCATCTCTGGGTGTGACCTCTGATCTACTGGTTTCCAGTACCTGTGCCCCTCCCATCTAGAAACAGCCCTGCCCCTCCTGTGGGCATAATATCTCATCACTCCAATGCCAGCTCAGCTCTCTGCACACTTTGTTGGTTAATCTTCAGATGTTTTTCTAAAGAGTTGCATTTTTTTGATAATAAAATAAGCAATGACAAATTGCTAGTAATAAATCTGTCAGGGCTTGGGTGGAGTCTCTGCTGGATGGCAACACTGTGTCCAAGGCAGGCATCAACTCCAATGTGTACAATGTGGTCAAAAGAATTGGAGGCAGACTATTTACATGCTGGTCCTAGACCTGTGACCTTTAACCTCTCTGAACCTCAGTTTTCCCATCTATAAAGTGAGAATACTACCTGTCCCTGGCTACCTTAAAAGGAGGCATTCGGAGGATTAAGATGAAATAAAGTATTATGGGCTTTTTGAAAGTGCACATCACCAAAACAAAGCAAGGTGCTTATTATCAGTGCTTTATGACTTTGTGTCTTTCTGTCCACATCACAGAGTCAGGATGGGGCCAGAGTGAGGCAGTTGTTGATTTATTTTGAGACATAAATCAATGTTTTTCAAAGGTTGACTCTACAAGTTTAAGCTATGAAGTGATGGTGACATCACTGGCCACACCCCCATCCATTCCAGTGAGTTGAGTTTGTGTGAGTGAAGTGACCCATTCAGTGGCTGCTTCGGCACAGAAGCATGGCCATAAACCAGCCGGGGTTGACCACTGTGCCCAGGGAGGCTTGAGTTCCCTCTCTGGATGAGATCAGCACCGTGCCTAGGGCAGGAGGAGTCTTTCTCCAGCCCCCGACCAGAGTACAAGCTGAAGACCTGGTGACGAGACTGCGGAGGGAGGATGTGGCACCCCCTCAGCGTCAACACTCGGGGGAGCGAGTAACAGCATTTGCTCAGGAGTCAGAAGACTGATCTGAGCTGCAGCCCTGCCACTCACCAGCTGTGAGACCTCAGACGTAGGACTTAGTTTCTCGGGCCCTTATACTTCTTTCAAATGGTGATAATGGTGCCTACTTCATAGGCTGAAGTGACAGCAGTATTAAAACTGCCAAAGCACTGTATGAATGCAAGCTGGAGGTGGTGGAGCTGCAGAAGGGGTAGAGGCAGCAGTAGTAAAATGTAGGTGGAGATGGAGGTGTTGTTGATAGTTATGTATAACTAGGATTCCAGAAGAGAATAAGTGAGTCTGTCCCAAATCACCAGAATTAATATCCAAGCTAGACAAGAACCTTGGACCTCAAAGAGCCCAGAAGATGGCAAAGACCCCTAGCAAAATGATCATTGGCCTTCTATGCCCATGGGACTCTATTGCTCACCTCCCTGGAATTCAAGAAGGCTTTAATCACAACAAGTGCACAGTACAGGCTGCAGGAAAACCTCTTTACTATAGAAGTGTCCCAGGGCACCAGCAGAGGGAGGAGAGGAAAAGCTGGCTTTTTCTTTTTGTCTGGTGCTGGGTCACTGGACTACAGAGCTCAAGAGGCTACAGACAAGGCCGGGATCTAAACTTGAGTTCCAACCTACAATCTTCCACTTTCTGGTGAAGCCACCTTCAGCCTTTCTAGCAGCTTCTCAAGTGAGGCCCATGAGGGACTTTAACAAGATCCTCAGGAGATTAATATGCACATTAAAATTTAAGAGGCACTGATATCAAGTGTTGTGTCTGTGCTTAAAGTCCCTCATTGGTCTCTGGTGTTCTTTTTTCCACAGTATTCAATTGAATATTCATTCCTGTTCATTCAACAGATACTTACTATGCACCTGCCTCATGCTAGACACTGCGGATATGGCAGTAAATAACACTGACAGTCTAGGTCCTCAAAGAGCTTATGGCAATGTTGTCAAAAGAAGTGAAAACCAAGATCATGGTCATAGCCCATCTGCTAGGGCAGATGCTTACCTGGCTGAACTCGGAGATGCCCAGAGCACTGGACATTCATCATGACACCTTCCCCTGAAGACACCTCGTTGAATAGCAGGGCACAGAAAGCTGTTTAGGTTACAGGTACTGGAATACAGTGACGGCACAGTACGCGGAGCTGAATTGCTGCAAGGAACATGGCTGTGCTTTGGTCAAGCACAGGCCGAGGTATACATCCAGAGTGACTCAGCGAGTTTACAGTGCAGGCGTATAACTCCACCTGTTATCACAGCCATGTAGCCATAACACGGGAAGGCTTATCACTTGGCTCTAAGCCACTATTGTCTGTAAAGACATAATTGCCTTGCTGACACTGTACAGGCGTGCTGGAACCCAGAGAAAGAGAGAGACAGAGCTGTCCGTCTTTGCAGATGAACAGAGGGGAGCCAGGACACAGCTCAGGCTGCTCGTGCCCAGAGAAAGAATTAAGCTGCTGACCCTGAAGGCAAACGAGAGCCGGCTGTGCAGCTCTGTGTGGGAGTGGCCAGAGTAAGCAGCCTAGACAGAGCGGACAGTATAAGTGAACAGCTGATGAGAGATGCTGAATAAAGCCACGTCTGATTTACCTGCTGTCTCTCAAGTGTTCTTTCAGCCACCGCCGCCCGCCGCCCCGTCCACCCACTCCTCGAGTGTTCTTCCAGCAACCCCCACACCTTGCCCCATCCACCCACTCCCCTCGGATCTCAGCTGGGGCTGGAACCTGACAATTGCTGAGCTGGGGCCTCTCTTCCTGGCCACCCTCTCCTCCTTGTCCTCTCTCTTCTCTACTTTTCCTCTCCCCTCCTCTTCTTTCTCCTCTTCCAGAATTGTCTGACCCCAAAGAGGGCTCCTATATTCTTTCCTACCATTTTTTTCTCCTGTTTCTTTCAGAAATCTCCACATGTATTTTACCAGTCTGTGTAGCAAAAACAACTGAGCATACTACAGCTCTCAAAAGTTTGTTTAAAGCCAGGATGACACACACACATCACACACCCCTCACACACAGCACTTAGGAACAGCTATAGCTTTGCAACGTTGACTTTTCCTTTTGAACACTCTTTGGCTCAAATGCATAGTTGGGGCAAGCCAATCATCCGCCCACAGGCGCCAGGACGCTGGGAGGCCTCCAGCTGCTCTGCTCCAGGAAGATTAAGTACAGCTGTGATGCTCTGCTGTGCCAGGCAACCCTGCAGTTGAATTACATTTTGAAGGTCCACAGGCCCTCCCCTTCCTCTGGCAGATTCTGCCAACAGCAGCAAATGCAGCTCAAACTCCGGTGGGGACAGGGGGAGAACACTGAGCAAGCAGGGCTGTTTGAAGCAGCAGAATCCAAATTCATGTCTTGGCTATGAGGCAGAAATTTCAGAAATGTATTCCTACAGAGGGGAATAAATCACTGAGTTGTCTTGAACTTGTGGTACAGAGTGGATGGGCTGCCTGAGTGCCTGAGCCCACACTCCACCTCGGCTCCTCCTAACATGAAACCAGAGCTAGACTGTTTGTCCACGATCAATGTTGTGGATGAAGCCCAGATCCCAACCTCTCCTGTAATTGCGATGGATATTGTGTGACCAGACTGTGCCCAGAGGACTGAACTTGATCTCCAGGATAGAATATCTGACATAGATTCTCTCTTACTAAAAGAAAAGAAAGAAAATTGCCTCTAGCTTTCCAAGTGAAAGAAACTTAGCTGAACTCCCTCTTTCCAAGCCCCCATTTACAACAAAGCTAACATGAACAGACTAATAACGTGTGCACCTCAAGGCATTTGGGTTTTTAAGTTCTGGGGTACAAGTGCAGGTTTGTTACACAGGAAAATGTGTGCCATGGTGGTTTGCTGCACAGATCAACCCATCACTTAAGTATTAAGGCCAGCAGGCATTAGCTATTTTTCCTGATGCTCTCCCTCCCCAATTCCCCACATAGGCCCCAATGTGTGTTGTTCCCCTCCCTGTGTCTACATGTTCTTCTCATTGTTCAGCTTCCACTTATAAATGAAAACATGTCGTGTTTGGTTTTCTGTTCCTGCATTAGTTGGCTGAGGATAATGGCTTCCAGTTCCATCCATGTCCCTGCAAAAGATATGATCTCGTTCCTTTTTATGGCTGCATAGTATTCCATGGTGTCTATGTACCACATTTTCTTTATCCAGTCTATCATGGATGGGCATTTGGGTTGATTCCATGTCTCTGCTATTGTGAATAGTGCTGCAATGAACGCACATGTGCATGTGTCTTTATAATCTGCTCCCTCTTCCCAGTCCACATGCATTATAGAGGGCTGGAGTCCCTCTCTTACTTTGAAAACCCAAATGCCAGAGGCTCTGTATTGCATGATTCCACCCCTATAATGCATGTGGACTGGAAAGAGGGAGCAGAGGGAACGAGAGAGGACTGACATTGACTCCCAGTCTTCTCCATGACGCCATAGGTGCCTGATCTCCTTCATCCTCATTACTGAAATCATATTTGTAAGACATGATGATACAATTTTATGGATGAGGAAACTGAAGCTGAGCAAGATGAAGAGACATTCTCTTGAAAGAGCTGAGTTTACACAGCAAAGTCAGGATTCAGAGCCTGGCTGGCCTGATTCCAAAGTGCTTTCCACTATAACTCACCATGTTCGAGAAGCCAACAAAGTTTCAGAAACCTCCTCCAGGGAGAGCATGGGCAGGGCCATGGACAGGGGAGGTAGACTTGTAATTAAAGCTTGGAAAATCCATGACATCTTTGGACACTATCTGACTGATAATTCACCCCACGTTGTTTCCCAGCAATGGAACTGGGGCTCCGGCATTGGCAGTCCTGCCTCCTACAGGCCCTGACACCTTTCACCATCCTGAGCCAATTCTGGATAAGAGTGTGGCCAGTCGTGGATGCCGGAGTTACCGTTCCAGCCACACATCTATTGCAACAGATGCCACATGTCCACCAACTGTCTTTACACCATCCTGGTCATCACCCTAGTTCCTGGGTAGCTCCTTTTTTGAGGCCTGGAGCCGCTGCATATTTGGCTGGTCTCCAATCTGAAGCCTTGCCCTCACCTCCCCCAGCTCCAAGTCTGATGGGCTTTCAGGTGGTTACCTGCCTACCCTTGTTTCTCACCAATGCAAGAGACTCTCTTTCCTGTGTCCCACATCTGGACCCTGAAAAGCCCACATCATTTTTCAAACTGATCTAGACCTAGTGATTTTTCAGCCACCTCCCTCAGAGTCCAGCTCCACATATGGGTCGCCCCTCCTCTCCCAGTGCCTCCTTCCTGTTGCCCTCCTATTTCCAACCTCATCCCTACCTCCACTGCCACAATCCCTTCCAGCCAAGCGTGTCTGAGCCATTCCTGTTGACAGGTACAGACACAGTGACTATGACGTGCTAACAGAGGACTGATGCATTATTTAGCATAAATGTGCAAAATAGACATGTAGAACAGAACCTTCCCTGCCCGACAGTAGGAATGCAGTTACAGGATTTAGTCACAGCACTGGAACAATTTATGATTTCTCATCAATAACTATTCATGAAAATGACTTATTGACTTTAACGGGACACGTCTAACTCAGACATTCCTGACCACACGTCACCTCAATATCTCATTCATCTTCCCATCGCTGGAATGACATAGCTCTAGGAGGCAAAGATGTGAAATGAAAGCCTTAATCAAGTGGACAGTGCTTGTATCATAACATCCAACTGCACCATCTTGGAAGGATGTGCTGTCCCACACGACCACGGCGAGCCAGTGGTGGAAAATGAGTTACAAGGGGTGTGAGAGGCTGGGCACAGTGGCTCACGCCTGTAATCCTAGAACTTTGGAAGGCCAAGGCGGGTGGATCACGAGGTCAGGAGTTCAAGACCAGCCTGGCCAACATGGTGAAACCCCGTCTCTACTAAAAATACAAAAATTAGCCAGGCGTGATGGTGTGTGCCTGTAATCCCAACTACTCGGGAGGCTGAGGTAGGAGAATTGCTTGAACCCAGGAGGCGGAGGTTGCAGTGAGCCGAGATTGCACCACTGCACTCCAGCCTGGGCGACAGAGCAAGACTCATCTCAAAAAAAAAAAAAAAAAAAAAAAAAAAAGAGGTGTGAGAGGTGCCCAGTACACTGTGAAAATATGGAGAACCTGAATTGCTCATTGAACATGTTTGCTCATGCAAGGCAGCTGTGAAGGGCATTACCCAATAACCAGGCAGGAATCAATAACTCCCTGTCAGCAGGGTGGCCTGGAATCTTTGACATGTACCCAAAAGCATAAAAGAAAGCTGGCCAAGAGACCAGTATCTATGCTGGCCCAGCCTGCACTTTAGACATTGATGCGCCTGACCAGGTCTGCCTGTCCCAGCTGCTTCTCTATATCCCATCCCCTCAGTTTCCCTACCTGTTGTCTGTCCTTTGCTGTCCATGGCTCCTCCTTCTGAATGAGCTTTTTCTTCTCAGGAATCAGGATGCTGTGGAAGGAGGCCTTCATGCTCCCAAAGCCAGCACCCCAGATAGGCAGGAACACACCTCACCAACCTCCCGATGGCCCTCATGCAACCCAGAGAGTCTGCCAACTCTTGCTTACTGCCCTTTTCAACTTTCACCTGGGCACCTACAAGAGCAGTGTTTCTACGAATCACCTGGAAAGCTTGTTAAAACACAGATGGCGGGGCTCCATCTAATTTAGCAGGACTGGAGGGAGTCTATGAATTTGTATTTCTAACAAGTTCCCAGGTGATGCTGATGCCACTGGTGCTGGGACCACACTAGGAGAACCACGTGTGCAAGACAATGACTGAGAGTGCATTGAATCGGTGGAGGGGACTCCACAATCCTACAAAACTTGACTGTCATGAGCCCAAGAAGGAGCCAGACAGGAAAATGCATCAACAACCCTGCTGTCTCATCTAATACAAGGCATCATTCACCCTGAGCAGAGGCCTGGCTATAATATTGTCCTTGCGTTCCTGTGTTGGGGCAATCAACAATTAAATGAGACCTTTATGGCACTTTAATAATACACCATGTAGGATGGGCCCAAGACAAACTTCCTATGAAATACATGCAGCCGCAGATTCCAGGTTCTTGGCCTCCTGTGGATTACAAGGCTGGTGATTGCTGGGGGCCTGCTAGGGGCAGCCCCACCTGGGGAAGACATGCCCTGAATTTCCTTCTGGGGCCTCTCCAGGAGTTGCTGTTTCCTCCTGAAGCAGGCCTCCAGGCCTCCGTTTGTTTACAAAGCAAAAGGATTTCACCATGTTGGCCAGGCTGGTCTCAAACTCCTGACCTCAAGTGATCTGCCTGCCTCGGCCTCCCAAAGTGCTGGGATTACAGGCATGAGCCACTGTGTCCGGCTGAAAAAGTGGACTTTTATGTTATTTTAAAACCACTATTATTTTGGGTTTTCTCACACACATACAACTGAGACTAATTCCAATTCAAGGCCAAACTAAGTGGTCTGAGGACTTTGAACTTCATTCTATAGGCAATAAGGAGCCTATAGAATAGACAGTTTATAAGCTGTGGGGTAACTTGATGTGGAAGAGAAAAAGGAAGAAGGAATAGAAATGACCCAAGATTGAAGGAGACTGTGGAAGCATCTTCCCGTTGATAGGAATGAGCAACTCTGATTTGGGGAGAAGGGTGATGAGCCTGGTTTTAGATGAGCCTGGTGGCACGTGCCTCTAATCCCAGCTACTTAGGAGGCTGAGGCACGAGAATCCCTTGAGCCCAGGAGGCAGAAGTTGCAGTGAGCCAAGATCATGCCACTGCACTCCAGCCTGGGTGACAAAGCAAGACTCCATCTCAAAAAAATAAGACAAAAAGCCACGTTTTCTCAGTATCTTTGAAGCAACTGCAATGCATCTGTGTCAGAGAATCCAAAGGGAGGTGGAGGTGCAGAAACAAATCTTAAGAGAAAGGTAAGAACTGGAGCTACACATCTGGAATCGCTCATGTGAAAATAATAGTTAACATGCTAGAACATAGATGAGCCTTAGGACATGATGCTAAGTGAAATAACCAGTCACAGAAGAACAAATACTGTAGCAGTCCACTTATATAAGGCACCTAGTGTAGTCCAACTCATAGAGACAACAGTCGAATGGTGGTTGCCAGGGGTTGAGAGAAGAGAGATGGATGGTGGTGGCGGCTACACAATCATCTGAATGTACTTAATACCACTGAACTGTACATTTTTAAATCATTAAGTTGGGTCAGATATGGTGGCTTACACCTGTAATCCCAGCACTTTGGGAGGCCGAGGCAGGCAGATCACTCGAGGTCAGGGGTTCAAGACCAGCCTGAACAACACGGTAAAACCCCGTCTCTACAAAAATTACAAGAAAAAATTAGCCAGGCATGGTGGCGCGTGCTTGTAATCACAGCTACTCGGGATGCTGTGGCACAAGAATTGCTTGAACCTGGGAGGCAGAGGTTGCAGTGAGCCAAGGTAGAACCACTGCACTCCGGCCTGGGAGACAGAGCAAGAGATTCTGTCCCCTCCCCCCAAAAATTGATTAAGATGATAAAAAATACATACATACATAAATGAAGGAAATATTTAGTAGCTTAACAAATAGCAGTAGCAAAATTCCCAAAAGTAGATGAGGCATCCTGGAAAAGAGGGAAGAGTGAGCCAGAAGGACTCACATTTGAGGGACAGCAGAAGGAAGCAATTCCAAAGAAAGAGAGACGGGTGGTCTGAGAGGCAGAAAGAAAGGGAGGAAAGATCTCATGTCACAAAAGCCAGGGAGGGAAAGAATTTGTGACACCATTAGCAAATTTTTGGAAAGTAGCAATGCCAGAGGGTAGAGGAAGGGGTTTATTCAACAAATTCTAGCCAAATTGTTTTGATAACAAAGGAACCTCTGAGTTAGCACTGAGTGCAAGGCTGAAACTGCAGGTGGTGACCATCTAAATTGGATTTTTTTCAAAGCTGGTCAAAGAAAATGTCATGTACAAGACTGGGCCTGCATGAAGAGCAACCCAGGCATCTAGTTCATTGTCATCATTTTCAAAGTAAAAGCCTGCCTGCATGAAGCACAATGGAAAATCCATCAAATTAGAAGTGAGTTTCTGGGCTGCGGTAGAAACTCAGCAATGTGGAATAAAAAGTACTTGCAGCATGCTGGGGGAAATGCCAACGAAGAGGGAGGTAAAAGATGGTCCCAGGGAGAAAGGACTCTGGAAAAGAAGCCTCATTGTCTGAAAACAGCTTCCTCCACTTTGAATTTGTGTGGGGAGGTGACATTTAACACATGATGAATGTATGGTCACTTTAAGGACTAACTGAGGCATGTAGGAAAAAAAAAACTCAGCTTAATATCTGGAAACAGAATTCCTCTTAGAGATGAAACTGTTTTGCCATAGCGTAATACCTTTAGAAGCCTTGAGATGGAAGGTAAGTCTGGGAGCTTAGGCTCTCAGTCGGCAAGCTAGCAAAAGAGAAAGCTCAATGGAGCTGCATCAGTGCAGGAGTAAGAGGGCAGACAAGGAGCAAGCCACTCTGCGAAGGCACCAAAGGACTTCTAAGAACGGAAGCTTCTTAGAGGCCATTGTCTGTGACGTTAATGAAAATATACACCCTTTGTCTCCTCAAACTTTAGCAAAGTAGGGAGGTTTGGGGGAAAAGGAAGGAACAAATATGACTTCCATGTTGGCACAACATCAGGGTAGCAATAAAGGCAGAGGCCCAAGGCAACTGCAGGGGAGAGGAGCTCATTGGAGAAAGGAAGCTGGAACCAGAAGTGACTGTGAAAATGACACCAAGAAGACCCCAAGCAGCATCTGGGGTATATTACCCTAAAGGACCAGCTTAGCTGTGTTGGGATTTGGGATTGATGTAATCACCCATCTCTTCAGCAAGATATCAGTCCTGTCTCCTGCAATCCCACATAACAAACTGTGAGGGTGCAGGGGTGGTCCACAGTGTCAAGTAAAGCTGAGAGATCAAAGGAAAGGGGAACTAAGGAAAGATCATCAGGGTTGCAAAACAGCAGGTCATCAACAACAGTGGAGGCGAAATTTTCAGCAGGAGTGGGGCCAGGGTTGCTATATGCAGTAGTGTGGATTATGCACTGCACAAAGTCAGCAATCTACAGGGCACGTGATATGGTTTGGCTGCGTCCCCACCCAAATCTCACCTTGAATTGTAATAATCCCCACATGTCAAGGGTGGGGCCAGGTGGAGATAATTGAATCATGGGGGCGGTTTCCCCTATACTGTTCTCGTGGCAGTGAATAAGTCTCACAAGATCTGATGGTTTTATAAGTGGGAGTTCCCCATGGATGAAGCTGGAAGCCATCATCCTCACCAAACTAACACAGGAACAGAAAACCAAACACTCCATGTTCTTACCCGTAAGTGGGAGCTGAACAATGAGAACACATGGACACAGGGAGGGGAACAACACACACCAGGGCCTGTCAGTGGGGCGAGGGGAGGGAGAGCATCAGGACAAATAGCTAATGCATGCCAGGCTTAATACCTGGGTAATGGGTTGATAGGTACAGCAAACCACCATAGCACACGTTTATCTAGGTAACAAACCTGCACATTCTGCACATGTACCCCAGAACTTAAAGTAAAATAAAACTTAAAAAAAAAAATAAATGGGAGTTCCCCTGCATACGTTCTCTTGCCTGCCGCCATGTAAGATGTTCCTTTGCTCTTCCTTTGTCTTCCACCATGATTGTGAGGCCTCCCCAGCCATGTGGAACTGTGAGTCCATTAAACCTCTTTCCTTTATAAATTACCCAGTCTCAGATATGCCTTTATTATCAGCATGAGAATGGACTAATACAGCATGGCCCCCTTCACAGATTGGAGATTTATGACAATCTTCCAGCCAAAGGGAGAAAAGCATCTTGAAGAATGAGTCCCGTTTCATAACTGGCACAAAGATGCCTTATGGGCTAGCAGCAGCCTTGATGGGGAGAGAAGGCATATGACAAGAAGGTTATAAATGAGTGGCTAGGGAAGAAATGAAAGCTGTGTATTTGCAGTTCCTATATGGGGATATGTATTATTTATCGATTGCTGCATAACAAACTACTTCAAAATTTAGCAGCTTAAAACAACAACACATCTCACCTCACAGTTCTGGGGGTCAGGAATCTAGGAGTGGTTAAACTGAGTGATTCTGGCTCAGGGTTTCTGATAACATGGCAGTCAAGCTGTTGGCTCGGGCTTCCGTCATCTCAAGACTCAACTGGGGCTGAAAAATCCACTTCTGAGCTTACTCTTTGGTAAGTTGGCAGGTGTCAGTCCTCACAGGCTATTGCACTGAGGATCTCAGTTTCTCACCACGCTACGTGGGCCTCTCTGTAAAGTTGCCCACAACATGGCAGCTTGCTTGCCCCAGTGCGAATGATCTGAGAAAGAGAAAGAAGAGGAGGGCAGGGGAGGAGAGGGAAGGGGAAGGAAAGGGAGGGAAGGGGAGGGAAGGGAAAAGGAAAGGAGTGGATACCTGATACAGAAGCCACAGTCTTTTTATAACCTAATCTCAGAAATTGTGTCCATCCCTTTTGCTGTATTCTATTTGTTAGAATACGTGTATAGCTCAAGGGGAGGGCCTTACACAAGGCCATGAACACCAGGAGGTGGAGGGCATTGGGGGCCATCCTACAGGCTGTGTCATCAGGATATATAGGCTCAACCACTCTTTCAAAAGGCAAAATCTTTCTCTCATTCTGGGGGTGAAATCATCAAGATGCAAACAAAATTCAGGAAAAGTGGGAGGTTACTATGAATCCAAATGTCAAAGTCAAGGGTAGAGACTGACATGAGATCAAAGCAAAAACATACAAAAGACTTAGCATCTGAATTAGAGAGCCATGGCTAATGCTCACTGTAAACCAGGACCAGGGTGTGCTCCAGTTAGTGACATGGTGGCTGAATTGAGCCAGATGGCAGGAAAAATGGCCATTGGCTGCCCCTCAGGGAAGGCCTCATCATTGGCTGCACAAGGCTTTAGCTTTGGTGCCCCAAGTGAGTTGCCTGCACCTACCTTATGTGGGTATGAAGAAAGCTCATGAAGGCTGAGAGGTTTCTAACCCAGAGTGAACAGCCTATGCAAAAACATAAAGAGGCATTAAAGGGAAACAAAGAACTTCACAGATGGGCACTGCTTCTGCTTTCTGTGTGGACAGAGCCTATCACGCAGAGATATGGAGGTAAGAACACACCAGATCAGCCAGTAACAGGTAGGACCTGTTCCCAGCACTTCCAACATCCAGGGCCATCCAGGCTTCCCAAAGGGCTGGGTTTGAGGCTGCAAACTATTCCTAGATATGCAAGTCCTATATGGAGAACTGCCCCCTTGGCCCTCCCTGACTCACCCACCATGAGACTCTATGCTTTCTTTTAAATTTCTGGAGCACGGAGAAGCACAGAGATGAAAAGAGTTATTTTCAACTTGGAACATATCATGATATGACAGCCAACTCTTTTGTATTCTTTTAGAGGTTCCTGGAATTTCTGAACTGCTCCTGAGTTGACTCAACTTCATAAATATTTATTGAAGGCCTGTTATCATGATGGGTCAGCTCTAGGCCATGGTTGCTTCAGATGAAGTGAGCCAGAAAGAAGGAGAACTAGGAGGTAGACCAAGCTGGTGAGCATAGTGGCAGGAAGTTGCCATGCCCGAGATTGTAGTTGGGGGCCAGTTCATCAGGGAGGTTACCATGAATCCAAATGTCAAAGTCAAGGGTAGAGACTGACATGAGATCAAAGCAAAAACATGCAAAAGATTTAGCATCTGAATTAGAGAGCCATGGCCAATGCTCATCAGTTCCAAGAGAAAAGGGAAAACACTGCCTAGCCCGGGCCAGAGGGTAGCAGCCTGGAGCCAGCATCCAGTCCTGAGAGTGGGGGTGATGTGTCACTTGTTCAGCATCCTATCCCCAACACCCAGCACACTGATAAATTTAGGTGCTCAAGCCAGGCAAGGAGAACACAGGGGTGTGGTCAGCAGTCATCCATGTAGGCTCCCATAAATCAGGATTTGGGATCCAATTTGGGATGAGCATCAGGAAACAAACAGGGAATGGTTTTCAGACACAGAGACTGGGAAAGGCAACTCAGGATCCAGAACAGATGAGTAGGGACACCTAACAGCCCGAGTTATGAATGCTGATGCCAGGGCATTCCTAGGATTAATAATAGAAGTATGATGGCTCACGCCTGTAATCCTCAACTTTGGAAGGCTGAGGTAGGAGGATCACTTGAGCCCAGGAGTCTGAGACCATCCTGGGCAACATAGCAAGACCCCTTCTCTACAAAAAATTTTTAAAAATTAGCTGGGCATGTTGGCATGTACCTGTAGTCCCAACCACTCAAGAGGCTGAGGTGGGAGGATCACTTGAGCCCACGAGTTTGAGGCTGCAGTGAGCTATGATTGTACCACTGCACTCCAGCATAGGCAACACAGCAAGACCCTGTCTCTAAAAAGATTTTAAAATAGGAAATAAATAATAAATTCCAGGATGAATCATTTTAAGCAGCCTTTCTGCTTCTGCTAGACTGAGGATCAAAGCCATGTCTGTCTTGCTTATTGGGTGTCCCCTGGCCTAGCACAGGGCCTGGTATGAAATGGGTGCTCAGTAAATGTGTGTGGAAAGAGCAACTGCTCCCAGAGAACAGTGGGAATCTGCAGGGGATGGAGCACAGGCTTAGGACTCAGAAGTCTTCAAGGCCAATGCTGAGGTAAAGATTGTTTTTTTTCTTCCAGGTTATAGGAAATCAAGGTTGGGGGGTGCCAGATTACAGATTTCAAAGAGTGACCAATATGATGCCAATGTATTCCACGTTCCTCACTCTGTCACCCTCCTGGGCCTCCTTCAGAGTAAAGCATAGGATAGAAATGACAACAGCCATTCACTTTTCTCAGGACCTAATCCCCAGATCGTGAATATACGTAGGCAGAAACCAAGCTAACAACTTCAACGTGGGACTGTAGAATATTCTCTCTACCCTTAACTAGGCAGGTGGCCTTGAGCAGATCATTTCACCTGTCTCTATCATAGCCCCAAACTATGTCCTCGTCTGTAAAATGAGAGAATTAGACTAGAAAGAAGGCTCTGGGGTTCTCTTTCTTTTCTGACATTCTGTAATTCAATTATTCTGGTTTGTTTTGAAGATAACATGGATTAGGATTGACCCACCATGAAAATATGCTGTGGTTCATCAGCTTCTAATGAGAACTGGAGTGGCCCTAAAAGAAATGCCATATACACACTCTCTCTCTCCGTTTCCATGGAGCTTGGTTCTCCTAGAAGCCTGTGTCTGTGGAGGAAGGTGAAGCATATTTCCTGTAGGCAGTTTCTCCTGTTTCCTAAGCCCTCTGGGGAAGAGGCAGCATGATATGGCTGAAAGCTCATTGGACTTGAAAATGGGGAGACCTGGATGCTCGTCCCAAACCAGGCATGTGAGCTTGGCAGTCCACCTGTCCTCTCTGGGTCTCCATTTGTTCGTATGTAATGGACAGAATACCTGCCCTGGCACCCTCCTAGACTGCTGTAAGCAAAAGGCTTCTGTAGAACATTAAGTGCTAAACCTATGTGTAATACTGCTGGGGAATCCATCAGAATGGCTGATTGGACATGAGAGAATGTGTGGGGCAAATGGCCCATACTTCAGAGGCACAAAAGACTTTTTTTTTTTTTGAGTTGGAGTTTCACTTTTGTTGCCCAGGCTGGAGTGCAATGGTGCATCTCAGCTCACTGCAACCTCCGCCTCCCGGGTTCAAGTGATTTTCCTGCCTCAGCCTCCCGAGTAGCTGGGATTACAGGCACACACCACCACGCCTGGCTAATTTTGTAGTTTAGTAGAGACAGGGTTTCACCATGTTGGTCAGGCTGGTCTCAACTCCTGACCTCAAGTGATCCACCCACCTCGGCTTCCCAAAGTGCTGGGATTACAGGCCAGCCACTGGGCCTGGCCAGGACTTCTTAAATATTTATACATTCTAGAAAATTAAGCTTCAAGCCGGCATTCGTGAGTCTGTCTGGTAGGAGGCAACATGACATGGCTGCCTAATTGGCAGAACCAGAGGAGCACGGTTCCAACCCTGCCGCTTACCAGCTGAGTGACTGTGTGCATAGCACTTTACCTCTCTGAGTCTTTGTTTTTTCATCTTTAAGATGGTTATAATATTCTTACCCTGCCTACTTCCCAAATCAGTCACCTTGATTGATCAAACATGATCAAGTGATCAACTAAGTCATGTTTCTAAAATTATGGCCCATTTTAAAGGGGCCATAGAAACTGGTCACATAAAATGGGCACTGATGCTCCTTGCAGTGTTAGGCACTTTGCAGGGGCGCTGAGCAATCAATCCTGCTGAGTCAGTGAGGCATAGCCCAGCCTGCAATGCCAGCTCTCTGAGCACACAGAATAGACAGACACCTACATGGGATGATCTGTGGGCAACTACAAGGCTTCATCTACCCCTAAAACTTTCCCTTCCTTCCCCAGCCTAGAGTTCTTCCCATTAGAATCACTCCTCCAAAGTATCTGTGAGATAGCTCAGAGCACAAAGGTCTCCAGGGTAGAGGCAAGTAGGGACTGGAATCCAACCCAAACTCTGCCCACCAAGGCCCATAACTGCCCAGAGGGAGGGCGCTTTTCTCTCATTCTTATGGGTGGCTTGCCACATGGGCCAGCATATACTTTGCCTGGAGGTTAGAAAACACGTTATCAGGGTTTAAATGAGCAAATGCTACCTGAAATGGAAGGATCACTCTTCTCTTGCCTCCCATTGAAAAATACATGGAGCTGAGCTCTGGGAAAATGAAACCCCAACCAGTGAATTTCACGTGCATGTGTGTGAGAGAGAATCAGAGTGTGTGTGTGCATGTGCGTGCATACACATGCTCGATACATGTGTATACACATTCATATGCACACGTGTCTGTGTGTAAACCTTAGTCCTCAAGGGTATGGCAAGGGAGGGTAGGATGATGGGACCCCCAGGCAGCCCAGTGTTAGCCCTGAGGTACTGGAAGCCATGAACAAATGCTGGATACGAGGCCAGGACAGCAAGGTTCTCAACTGGGTTCTGGGGGGAGAGGCACAGAGGGAGGTTTGACCAATACAAACTTGTTTGACCTCATAATCCTGTTGAAGCTGAGCCTTCCAGCTTAGGCTATAGGGGAATAACTACAGCCTGCGATACTACATGAGGAGTCACAAGACTCCACCCTCTGACCTTTGAGATGAGCCCTCAGCCATCCCTCCAAGCACCTGCTGGAGCACTTTCTGCCCCTCTTCTTTTTGGCAACATGGTCAGAATCCTGACCGCTGCCAGCTGGCTTCGGTCAACATGAAGGAGCAGCCACAGCCATTTCAAGGTCACTTGTGGAATTGCGTCCACGTGGACTCCGGTGACTCCTGTGCTCTTCCTTTTACTCCGAATGAGACACTTCATTGTTTGAGGTCTGAGAATTCTCCAGGGAGTTCTGGGAACTGGATGCTGGGCAAGACAATAAATAGAGATGGCGGAACATGCCATTCGTGGGAAGGGAAAGAGATTTGCCTTCAGGGAGGGCAACACAATAGCCCAGGGGTGTAGCTTCCCATAAACCTTGGCAGCGTGGCCCACAGCACCAAGGACACGGTCACCTACAGCAAGAGGGTGGGGTCTGTAGCCAAGCAGCTCCCCATGGGCAGGAGGAAAAGGAAGAAGTCATATGTAGAGCAAACTACACACCCTCCCTGAACCTCCTATTTTGGGAAATGAGGAATAAAATGCTACTTGTTATAGGCCTTGTTGGTCTGGATGAAAGCCTTCAAAAGCCTCATACGTAAATGCTTCAAAGCATTTTCAAATAGTTGCTTCAATTTTAATGTAAAATTGATCAGAAGGCCAAAGAGTCACCTGTTTCCAAGAATGTCTATCATGTTATCACAATAGTGCAGGTGATTCTCTGACCCTCACTGACAGCCCATTCACATTCCCCATGCTCTTGTCTATGCTTTTTGATGTGTCTGACCATTCATAGGCAGTGGGAAAAAGAAAAGAGAAAAACAGTCACACTCTTGCAGTCATTTCAGTGGGTGATTCTCTGTCTTGCTCATCAGGGTTCCCCTTGGTGCTCTCATAACAGATCACAGTGACAAACTCCCCTGATATCTGTGGCACCCGGTGCAAGAGTACAAATGGAGGCCCTCAGACATAGGTCTAATATTTTAAAATTATATGTCAAGCTAACAAACTTAAATATGTTCTACTAGCCTATCTTGAAAATATACATGCACAATGACTTAGAAGGCTGCTTTCAAATTTAGAATTCTCACTCTTCCAGAGAATGCCAGCTCCCAGATGCTTAGTCCTGGACTCATGGACTTATCCTCCCATCTCCCACTCTACTTGCCCCCAGCCCAACCCACAGGCCCAAGCTCCATCCACATGCCCCACTCACAGCCACCCCTTTGCTATTTCTTAAGCCTAGGGGTGCACAGACTAGCCATACTGGCTGTGACCTCAGTCTTTGGGAGGATAGATCTGGGAAAGAAGCCCGGAAAAGTTTGGAACAGGCTAGGAGCCTTTCAGGTGGGGAATTCCAGGAATTATTATATTTGATCTTAAAGGGAGAGGCCTGGGTCGGGGGAAATGAGCATAAGTTGGAAGAGGAAAGTGCAAACCGAAGGAAGGGCTGGCTGTGGTGGTACACACCTGTAGTCCTAGCTACTCCAGAGGCTGAGGCGGGAAGATCACTTGAGCCCAGGAGTTCAAGACTGCAGAGAATATCCAGAGAATGTTTTAGAAGGGAGCCATGGGCTTCACAGAGTCACGTCTCCTTGGCCCTGTAGACTCCTTCCCCACAGGGAGAGGCATGGCTAGAAGAGGGTCAGGATGGAGTCCTCTAAAGGAGCAGCCACAGCCATTTCAAGGTCACTTGAAGATCCTGTGAGCCCAAGAGTTCAAGACTGCAGTGAGCTATGATCGCACCACTGCACTCCAGCCTGGGTGCCAGAACAAGACCCTGTCTCTAACAACAACCCACCTCACCCCCCGAAAAAAAAGAAGGGATGAAGGTCAATCCCACTATTCGTGACTATTAAGATTGAGGCAGGGCCAGTCATGGTGGCTCGCGCCTGTAATCCCAGCACTTTGGGAGGCCGAGGCATGCCGATGGCTTGAGCCCAGGAGTTCAAGACCAGCCTGGGCAACATGACAAAACCCCATCTCTACCTTAAATATATATATATACAAAAGTTAGCCAGGTATACTGGTATGCACCTGTGGTCCCAGCTACTCAGGAGGCTGAGGTGGAAAAATCACTTAGCCTGGGAGCTCAAGGCTAAGTAGTGAACCTGCAGTGAGAAGTGATCATGCCACTGTGCTCCAGCCTGGGCAACAGAGTGAGACCCTGTCTCAAAAAAAAAAAAAAAAAAAAGATTGAAGCAGGGCAGCAGGTGTTTGGGAAAAAGGTTTCTCACCCCATGTGGTTAGCTGGCCCTCCTAGGACCATGGCTTACTATTTGACCTTGGGCAAGTTTCTTAATTCTCCAGGCCTCAGTTTTCTCAGCATTTTCCTTAAATGAGCCTTCTGAAGACTAAAAGAGATAACACCTGTTAAATGCCTGGCCCAGAGGAAGCAGTTGGTAATTGGTAGGTATTAGTATTATTTTCCTCTCCAGTGGGAGAGCAGGAAACAGAATGGCCAGGCTGGAGCCAGCTCAGCCCTGGTGTCTTCCCTAGAGGACAACATGCTGCTCCCCAGCCCTGAGCACGCCAGTCTTCAGGTCCTGCCAGGTACAGGACAGCTTGTAGTCCCACACGGCAGTCGGTCGGCCAACCGCACCCCACAAGCCTCATCCAATATTGATGCAGTGTCTAATGTCTCCTGAACACAATACACTGCTTCTCAAACAAGCTCCTGCCTTTCTATGACCCAGAGGAGGCAGAGGACTCTTGACATCCCTTAAACAGCTACACACCTGGTAAATTTTGCCCCTAATCACAGGCAAATGTTATGCGAACCATTTCTTTCCAGGCCGGATGAATGGTCCCACTGCCTGCTTTCAGGGTTTTCCTCACTACTCTGGCTCTTCCAAGAAAGGAAAGAAAGGAGATGAAAACCACAGTTGGAAGCACCTCCTCTGTGCCAGGCACAGGACAAAAGGCTGTGCATGCATAATCTAATCCCAACAGGAATCCTTCCAAGTGGGTGCTATGGGCTACCATTTATAGATGGGACTGAGATGTAAGGGGGTTGATTAGGTCACTCAAGCAAGATCACACCATTTGGATGGGGCGAAGTTAAACTTTAGATTCCGCATCTCAGACTGGTGTGCCCTGCTGACGCTACTCAGGAAATGAGACTGAAGTGTGTGGGAAATCCCCACGCCCCAGCAAGCAGGCCTGTGGCCAGGACCACTGCCTGGGGTCAGGCTCACTTAGCTGCCCTGCACCACTTTCCTGGAAGGTTTCATCATTGAAATTAAGGAATAATTTCTTATAGTTTGCCACAGAGTTAAGCCAAGTCAAAACTTTTAAGTTCTACTGGCCCCTGCCAAGCGATTGCAGATCAGATCTCCTCTCCTGCCCCCAAGGAGCTGCCTTTGTTTCCTTCTTTGTCCTGTCACAGCCCTCCCCCAAAGCATTAGATTCAGAAAGGCCTGGGCACTTGGGGCTGGGGGTGGCACAGGGGAATGAAACACTTGGAGAGGAAAAAAAAAAACAACAACCCTGACTAATACAAAAGAAATTTCCCAACCACATATGCACCATATAATTACCTACATACATACACATACATAATGAAGGAGATCTTAAAGCATGCATTTAGTAAGGCTTTACAGAATAAATGTATTTGAGGGCAGTCTTCCAGTAAGTGAACATTAATCAACAGAGAACAAGAAAGATAAATATTCTACCCAGCAAGCCAAGGGATAATAATACCCCTCATAGGGCCAGAGAAATTGAAGGGAGAAGATAATGAGTTGTTTTCTTTATGCTCAAATTAAAGGTGGGACAACTAAATGTATTCCTTCTTCAGCACCTACTATGTGCCTGAACCAAAACAAGGCAAAACAGCCAAAAACAAAGCAAGACACTGTGGGTACATAGCAGGTCTAGGACCAGAGGAGGCCAAGGGGACAGAAGATGGATGGGGATGTCGGGGGGCCTCCCCCGTGTCCATTCCTGGTAAACCCAGCTTCCTGTGCAGCTCAGGCCTTGGAAGAAGCCAGCCCTGCGCCCCCCACCTACTCTGGGGCAGGGTCTCACCCCCTGACTATACGTTTGGTTGTGAGGGTCAAGACACATGAGCTGGTCAGAGATCACTTGGCAAGAGCCAAGAGAGCTTAGAGAGTTTTGACTTGTGACAAACACTAAAGGAAAGCAGTGCAGTAAATGGGCCTGACCCCAGGCAGAGGCCCTGAGCACAGACCCATTGTGGGGACTTCCATGTTCCTCGGTCCAAGGGCCACATCCTGACCCAGCTCAGGACCATGGAACAGCAGGTGAGGTGTGCCGGGTACCTCGGGGAAAGCTTCCCTTGCTCTTCTGGAACCATTCCCCAAAACCCTGTCTATCTCTCCTGAGTCTGGGCAGGTGTGTATGTGAAGCCAAGAGCAGTTGAAGCCATGTTACCACCCTGAGGGAAATCAGACTCAAGATGAAGCAGGGCCCACAGAAGGTGGAACAGAGAGACAGAGATTTTGAAAAAGGAGCTGTCATCTATGCCAATCTTCCTGAGAAACTGATGAGACAGAAATGAAACAGGGTCCCCAATTCCCGTATTAGATGGTGGAGGATGACCAAAACCCTGAGTAGCATCAGGGTCCTTAAAGGATGCTGTTCCCAGATGAGGGGCCCCCAAAGGAGGGCAAACTGGGCTGCTTGTCAATGGGGTCCGAGGACCAGAGCGGCCTTGGTCACTGAGGAGGTCCCATTGTGAAACAGCTAAGAGCTTCGGCATCCGCGGCCTGGGCTTGAGTCCTGGCTCTGCCCCTAGCTCGTGTCATCTTAGCAAATGACTTAACTTCAGAGAGCCTCTGTTTCCTAAACTGACCAATGGAGACAAATACACCTACCCCAAAATACGGCTGTACGGATTCAACGAGGTGAAGTGCATGCAAGGGCTTGGCACACGGTGAGTGTCCCATGAGCGTTAGTTGTGCTGCTTGAGGCCCAGTGTTCCAGGGGGGACGCCATAACCAAGTGTCCTCAAGAGCCGTTGGCTCCCAGGGAGAGAGGTGGACATGAGGTCACACATGAAGAGCTCTTGGCAGGGTGCCTGCTCACAGCAAGCGCTCAGCAAACGGCAGCTGCTGGAATGATTACCACTATTTTAAGCCTTCTCTACTCAGAAGCTAGATCACTGTTTGGACCCACATGGGCTCCTCCTCGGTAGGCTTAGGCCAGGCGGAGCACACCAGGCCCTCGGCATCATGCCCTTTGGCCCCCAGAGCCCCGTGTCTCCCTACCTCTGCACAGCTCCAGACATTAGCCTCCAACTCCAGGCCCCGGAGCCTGGAGAGAAACCTGCTTCCCAACATTACTCCCACATTCCTGCTGCAAGAATGCCTTTATATGGCACAGTCCTGTGGGCTGAGATTTAATTAACCCTTTACATGCCTTTGCAAAACACCACACCAGAGAACAATTCTTCCTCTGTCCTTGGAAGGTACTGATGCCAAGAGAATGTTTTCATTTGGTTATTATCTCTTGTCTCCTCTTGAGGAGATGCCGTCGTGCCGGTTATCCAAGGCAAGGACCTGTGTGAGCACCTCAGAAGCAGAACTCAGTGATTCTGGAAGTAGAAGAGAGACTTTGTTTGGGTTTGAGGTCGCCAAAAACGTTGCGGGCCTACTATGTACAAAGCATGGTGCGGGATGTACAAAGCTGAAAAACATGCAATTCTTGACTTCAGGATAGTCCCTAAGACAAGAGAGTAATGAGTCTACAGCCATACCGCCCTGAATGCGCCTTATCTAGGAAGCTAAGCAGAGTCAGGCCTAGTTAGTACTTGGAAAAGAGACAAAAGAGTAAATAAATTGTGGTGAATAAAACAGGAGAAATAATCTGAAAGGAAGGTAGAACCCTAGACCATTAAGCGCTTGTTAAAAAAAAAAATAATAGTAATAATGATAACACCACCAGCAAAAAACAAAAACCCCTAGTTTTGGAGCAGAGGCCTGGTTGGAAAGAGAAGAGCCAGGTGCAGATATTTGATCCTCTCCACTCTCCCACAAAGAGCTCGGCACAGGATAAGGTCAAACACAAGAAGATCACCGCTTATCAGTGACACATCTGCTAAGCTGCAGTCAGCGCCCGTCTGCCTGCCTGCTACCCTCTGTAACCCGGCCCGCCTTATCAGGAGCTCGGTCTATTTCCGCAAGTGAGGGGCAGCACAGCAAGAAGACCGGGATGGTGGCTCCAGTATACATCAGGAAGATGGGGCACTCAGCAACAGCCCTCTAGGAGATCTCCATGGTGCCAGGGGCTTTCTACTCAGGCCACACTAGATAGGGCTTCCACGCTGAACTCTCCAAAAGCCAGTTTGAGTCATGTCAGTATCAGTCTGTCCCCAACCCTCAACCATCAGTGGCTGCTTCCCTGTGCCAGACTCCTATTTAAACTCCTCAGCCCAGCATCTGGTGCCCTTCACCATCTGACTCCAGTTTGCTCTTCCAGCCTCATCCCCAGTACTCGTGCTGGTTCCTTCACCTAGAACACCTTGCCCGCCTCACCCGGGCTCCACTGTTGGAGTCCTGCCCACTCTTTCAGATCTGCCTCAGATACCTTTTCCCTCAGAGAGACTTCCCTGATCCACCCAGAACCCCTTCTTCCTCCCTGCCCCACCCATTTCCTGAAATGACCTCGATCTCCTCTGACTTCTCCTGCATTTTAGACCTGGCTGGTATCACTTGTCACATCCCACCTAGGATTGGGTCTCTCTTATTCCATTTACTTGGAAGCTCCCTGAGGTGAGACTCTCTATTGTACTGTTCTCCATCTCCCATCTCCGGAGGTTCACATGCCAAAGGTTCTCTCCCTTAAAGGATGGACTCGCTGCCGTAGCTTCCACCATTTTGTCAAAGTGGTGGACTCCAAAACTCAAGTTCCTATCTCCAGACAGCTCTCTGAGCATTGGTGTTTGTACATCCAGTTAGCATCTTGGAATCAGCGTGCTATAGCCCCCATAATACCTGAACTTCCTTTACTAACATAAATCCAAAAGTGAAGTCTTCCTCCTCTTCCTTGACTTCCCTATTCCTGCCATGGTGTAGAATGTACAAAGCTGGGAAACATGCAACTCTTGACTTCAAGGTAGTCCCTTGAAGTCACTGCCCAGTGCAGCGGGGCTATTGAAACCCCATCCTGGCCCCCAAATGCTCACAGCCACTCATGGAATGGGCATTCTCAGAAAATTCATTCTTGAATGCCCTTTCACCCTACCCATGCCTGTCTCCCCTGTAGCCTTCCCCTGTAACCCATCCGTCTTTTTCAGGCCACTCCCTCCTGCATCATGCATGGAAGGACCCTGATATAGTTTGGATATTTGTCTCCGCCGAAATCTCATGTTGAATTGTAATCCCCAATGCGGGAGGCGGGGCCTGGTGGGAGGTGTTTGAATCCTGGGGGCAGATCCCTCATAGCCTGGTGCTGTCTTTGTGATAGTGAGTTCTTGCAAGACCTGGTCATTTATAAGCATATGGCACTTCCCTCTATTCTCTCTCTCTTGCCCGTGCTTTTGCCATGTGACACGCCTGCTCCCCCTTTGCCTTCTTCCATGGCTGTAAGTTTCCTGAGGCCTCCCTAGAAGCCAAGCAGATGCTAGCACCAGGCTTCCTGTAAAGCCTGCAGAAACATGAGCCAATTAAACCTCTTTTCTTTATAAATTACCCAGTCACAGGTATTTCTTTATAGCAATGCAAGAACGGCCCAATACAGACCCTCTTCCCTAGCTTTCAACTTTCTTGCTGTTTTCCAGCCTCAGACTTGAGTTTCCTCCTTTCCCAGGCCTGGCTGTGCCTGAGAATGAAGTAAAAGACCCCCTTTCAGTGGGGTCTTTGTCCTCACTCTGTTCCCTGCTCTTGGTGACCCTAACTAGCTCAGGCACGTCTCCAGAAGATGCCTTCAGTTGTCCAGGCTGAAAAGCCCAGAATCAGCTTTAACTCCTCTCTCTCCTTCAGTGCCCAGGCCCATTTACTCCTCTGGTATAATGACTTTGGAATCTCCCCCTTGGGTCCTATCACTCTTCTTTGTCAAGACCCTGAAACATGCATCAGTACCAATTACTCCTTCCCTCCATGGGCTCCCCTGAGTGAGGTCCTCCTTCCATTCTAGTCCTAAGCACTTGGCTTATGAGTCTGTGTCTCCCTCCATACTGTGAGGATGAAGAAGGGACTAATCAATCCTGTGTCCCCAGTGTCAACAAAGGTCTTTTTTTTTTTTTTTTTGAGACGGAGTCTTGCTCTGTTGCCCAGGCTGGAGTGCAGTGGCACAATCTTGGCACATTGCAACCTCTGCCTTTGGGTTCAAGCAATCCTTCTGCCTCAGCCTCCCGAGTAGCTAGGATTACAAGCGCCGGCCACCACACCCCGCTAATTTTTGTATTTTTAGTAGAGACGGGGTTTCACCATATTGGTCAGGCAGGTCTCGAACTCCTGACCTCAGGTGATCCTCCTGCCTCAGTCTCCCAAAGCTCTGGGATTACAGGAGTGAGCCACCGCCCTGGCCTACAAAGGTCTTTTTTATAGTAGGTGCTCAATAAATGAAGACATATTGGATGAGTGCCCGCCTGCCATGTGCAAAATCCAGTGTTAAGTGCTAGGGGAACCCAGAAGCCCTGCTGCCTGGAAACCATTAGATATGGACTTACAGGATGGATAATGTAAGAACAAAGTGCAGACTGGTGCTGCAGGGCTTCTGAGAAAGAGAAGGCGACCCAACAGCACACAGTAAAACAAATATACGGGGAGGAGCAGGGAAGTAGAGGGGAGAGCTCAAAAGGGAGAAATGGTGCATGGCTAATAAGAGACAATGAATAGACCGGTTTGGGGAGGCCAGGTTGGAGAAATGGGCGGAGTCCAATTGCAAGGGCTGATGAATACCAGGGTAATGGCAATGCCTTTAGCTAACTTTCATTGAGTACCTGCTGGATACCAAACACTAATTTATGTTTTGTTCATGGATTATCTCATGTATTCCTTATAGTCCTATGAGGCAATTACTGTGATTACACAGTCTGGGTATGATTATACCCACTTTGAGGAAAGAGGATGAGGAAACTAAAGCATGGAAAGGTTCTCCCACTCACCCAGGCCCACACAGTGGTTAAGTGGTAGAGAAGGGAAGGGTTCAAACCAATGACAACTTGGTGCAAGAGCCTACACTCTCAGCCACTACCCTCTCCAGTCACTCAGGTTAAGCCTTGGTCTTTATTCTGAAGGCAGCAAGGAGATATGGAAAATGGGGAGGAGGAAGAGGTGAGCAAGAAGAGTGACACACACCACTGGAGGTTCTGGAGTCTTCATCTACCAACTCTCTGTAGGGCACATTTGGAAAGGAAAAGGGAAAACTGAAGTCTAGGGGGTTAATTTAGAGGAAAGGGACAAAACAGTGCTATAGAAAAGCCCTGGACTTCAAAGGGAAACCTGAGTTTGAGCTCCATATCAGGACTTCATGGGCTACTCAGCCCTTTCTTAGGGACTCTGTTTTCCCATCTGTAAATGGAGAGAAGAACTGGGATCCCTGCCAGCTCTCAGGTTCTGTGGTTTGATGGGGATTTTGTAATGTGAGGAGATGGCCACCTCAATTAATCCACGGCATAGAATCAGCTAAACCCCGTCTCCAGCCTCACACCCCTTATGGAGCCTTCCTGATTACAGCCTCCAACTCCCGTCCCCGTGTCTGCACCACATGTTGGTGACTTGGCGTATACTGTCTCATGCCATTATGGGTCTTTGAAGATTATGTCCTCAGCTAAACCCACAGCCCCTGGAGGGCCAGGGGTGGTTTTGTCTTGTGTTTCTCCATGGGTTTTTCTCTCGGCATTTAGTTCTGTGCATATTATACAACAGACCTTCACTAAAGTCATATTGGGTTTTAAATAACCCACAGGGTGTACAGGTCAGAAGTTACCCTGCCCCGGGCCAGGTGCAGTGACTCATGCCTGTTATCCCAGCATTCTGGGAGGCCAAGGAGGGTGGATCACCTGAGGTCAAGAGTTCAAGACCAGCCTGGCCAACATGGTAAAATCCCATCTCTAATAAACATACAAAAAAATTAGCTGGGCATGGTGGCACATGCCTGTAATCCTAGCTACTCAGGAGGCTGAGGTGGGAGAATAAATTGAACCCAGGAAGCAGAGGTTGCGGTGAGCTGAGATCGTGCTAGTGCACTCCCACTTGGGTAACAGAGCAAGACCCTGTCTCAAAAGAAAAAAAAAAAAAAAGAAGACGGTCCCCTGCCTGTGTTTTTAGGCCTGTCATTTACATCTGTGCCAGACAACCAGGACATATCCTGTGACAGAGTTGTAAACTGCAGAGGCTTTGTACCCTTGTCACAGTCAACAGGCATCTTCCCTGGATTCAAGGCCAACAATGCTGCTTCTTGGATGTAATGTTTAATCTCATCTATAAAATAACACTAGCAATCCCTACCTCTGAGTGTGGTTGTGGGGACTGAATGATGTTATATGTGTTTATGTATTTTGCATCCTATAAAATACTACATCAATATAAGGTCATGTAAATTCTCCAAGGCACTGAGCTGTATTTGCCCATTTTCACAGTGCTATAAAGAACTGCCCAGGACTGGGTAATTTATAAAGAAAACAAGTTTAATTGACTCACAGTTCTACATGGCTGGGAAGGCCTCAGGAAACTTACAATCATGGAGGAAGGTGCAGGGAAAGCAAGACACGTCTTACATGGTGGCAGAACAGAGAGAGAGAGCAAAGAGGGAAGTGCTGCCTTTAAACCAGCAGAGCTCAAAAGAACTCACTCACTATCATGAGAACAGCATGGAGAAAACCGCCCCCATGATCCAATCACTTCCCACCAGGTCCCTCCCTCAACAAGTGGGGATTTCAATTCAAGATGAGATTTGGGTAGGAACACAGAACTAAACCATATCATGAGCCAAGTTCAAGTTCTGACTCCAAATTGCATGGCTTTGAACTAGCCATTTAATCTCTAGTCTCTTCTACTGCATATGGATCATACCCCTTTAAAATTGTGCTCAAATTTTACATGCCCATTCCCACCCCTCCCCTACTTTCAGGCTCCAGGGATTAATTTCTTTCTCAGCCCTCACAGCCTGGCTTAAAGCCCTGATGCCCGCTCAAGTCAGAATTGATTCTCTCTCCTTCTGGGCCATCATTTTGGATGATCTCTACCTCTTCTCCAAATAGCTTCATCCTGATTATATAGCCATCTTCCAGGGTCAGCAAACTTTCTCTATAAAGGTCCAGATAACAAATAGTTTGGCTTTGTGGGTCACATGGCCTCTGTTGCAACTACTCAATTCCACCGTCGTTGTGTGAAAACAGCCGTAGACAATATGTAAATGAATAGACATGACTGTGTTCTAAAAAAACTTTTTATTTACAAAACAGGGGGCAGACACGGTGGCTCACATCTGTCATCCCAGCATTTTGGGAAGCCAAGGTGGGAGGATTTCTTGAGGTTAGAAGTTCAAAACCAGCCTGGGCAACATAGCGAGACCTCATTTCTACAAAAAATTAAAAATTAGCTGGGTGCAGTAGCACACACCTGTAGTGCTAGCTACTCAAGAGGCTGAGATGCGAGGATCACTTCAGCCCAGCAGGAAAAGGCTGCAGTGACCCATGATTGCACTACTGCATTCCAGCCAGAGCAACAGAGCAAGACTCTGTCTCAAAAATAAACAAATAAATAAAAATAATTAGCCAGGCGTGGTGTCATGTGCCTGTAGTACCAGTTAGTCAGGAGGCTGAGGCAGGAGAGGATCACTTGAGCCCAGAGTTGAAGGTTGCAGTGAGCTATGATCACACCACTGCCCTTTAGCCTAGGAAACAGAACAAGACCCAGTCTCAAAACAAAAAACAAAAAAATGAGTACTGGCAAAATTGACCCTCAGGCAGTAGTCTTCCCACCCCTGCTCTAGATCGTCACCTCCCAAAAGTACTAACAGAACATTTATTTATTTTTTACTGGAGATGGAGTCTCCCTCTGTCGCCCAGGCTGGAGTGCAGTGGCACGATCTTGGCTCACTGCAACCTCTGCCTCCTGAGTTCAAGTGATTCTCCTGCCTCAGCCTCCTAAGTAGCTGGGACTACAGGTGCATGCCACCACGCCCAGCTAATTTTTTTTGTATTTTTAGTAGAGACAGGGTTTCACCATGTTGGCCAGGCTGGTCTCGAACTCCTGACCTCAAGTGATCTGCCTGCCTCCGCCTCCCAAAGTGCTGTGATTACAGGCATGAACCACCACATCTGGCCCTAACCGGATCTTTTGTTTTTGTTTTTGTTTTTGTTTGAGACAGAGTGTCACTCTGTCACCCAGGCTGGAGTGCAGTGGCACAATCTTGGCTCACTGCAACCTTCACCTCCCAGGTTCAAGCAATTCTCCTGCCTCAGCCTCCTGAGTAGCTGGGATTACAGGTGTGTGCCACCACGCCTGGCTAATTTTTGTATTTTAGTAGAGACAGTGTTTCACCATGTTGACCAAGCTGGTCTTGAACTCCTGACCTCGGGTGATCTGCCCGCCTCGGCTTCCCAAAGTGCTAGGATTACAGGCATGAGCCACTGCGCCCGGCCCCTAACAGCATCTTATTCATCTCTGTATTCTCACTCATAGCCTTGAGGCCAAGCACAGAGTTTAACCCCAAGAGGTCTCAAAAAATAAATAAATAGCAGTAATAAAAATAGTGCCTTTTACTGAAGCCTCATAAGGTACAAAATACAGACAGTCCCCAACTTATGATGGTTAGACATACAATTTTTTGACTTAACATTAAGTTTATCAAAGAGCTTCTTATGACTTACAGTGGGATTACAGTTTGTACTGAATACTTACTGCTTTTGCATCAGGATGAAGTAAAAAAGTTATAAGTTGAACCACCATAAGTCGGGGACCATCTGCTGTGTTACCAGCATCAAATGCATTTTCAACTTCAGATATCTTCCACTTCTGATGGATTTAGTGGGACACAGCCCCATCACAAGTCAAGGAGCATCTGTACTTGGAACTCTATAAGTTTGTTTTTCGTTGCTGTTGTTGTTTTTTGAGACGGAGTCTCCTTCTATCACCCAGGCTGGAACGCAGTGGTGCAATCTTGGCTCACTGCAACCTCCATCTCTCGGGTTCAAGCCATTCTGCCTCAGCCTCCTGAGTAGCTAGGACTACAGATGTGTGCCACCACGCCCCGCTAATTTTTGTATTTTTAGTAGAGATGGGGTTTTGCCATGTTGGCCAGGCTGGTCTCGAACTCCTGACCTCAGGTGATCCACCCGCCTCAGCCTCCCAAAGTGCTGGGATTACAGGCATGAGCCACTGCGCCCAGCCAAGGTTGGTATTCATTATTCCATTGTACATATGAGGAAAATGAGATCAGGTAATTTGTCCAAGTCTGCACAGCTGGTAAGTATCAGAGCAGGAGATCACACCCAGGTCTATGCAAAGCATAGCTGCCATGTCACACTACATGCGTTTGCAAAGGCTCATTGGATTAACTATGAGGGATGAGGTTGAGCCAGGTATCTTCTAGTCTCCCAGCAGTCAGCAAAAGAATCGTCAAGTCCCAGCCTGGCTTCCAGTGTAGTCACAGGCTGTCCCACTGGGCTGGGGAAGCACAATTTGACATGCTCTTTTGTCTTCTTGTCACTTGCCCAGAGCTAGTCCCCGCATCTGCTCTGACACACACAGCTCAGCAGCAGGCATAGTGACCTCTGAGTATAAGCACAGGCTGTCTGGGGGGCTAAGCCATTGTGTGCCCAACAGTCCATTCTTTCTCAGAAGCCCAGAGAGTGAGGACAGCTGTGAGCGACCTCCAGTCTGCTGGAGTGGAGCCAGCATTCCACACACGGCAACAGCCAAAAGGAATTTATGGGAAGAGGGAGAGCGGGAGGTGGGGTCAGGGGCCAGATCTGAGTTCAGTTACCCAACTTCCTGCTGCCCAATGCTGTCTCAAATCATGGTAGGATCCCAAGCCTTAAAGGGACAAAGATAGAAGCCAGGAAAGCAGTTTTAGGGAGCAAGACTGAGGGTACGTACCATGCCTTCAAAGTAAATCATCTCCTCCCCTCAACCCTAGACACACACACACACACACGCACACAAACACACCTTCCAGGCATGGAGAATAATGTGGACTCCAGTTTTAAAAACGTGCAGTATAAGACAAGGCTTGGAAGTACACAGTGGAATTTGATCACTACCCACCTAGGGGCCACTAGAACATTTTGGCGCAAGCAACTGAGATGGTGATTTGGGATAAGTTCCTGGAAGCAGTGGCCAGAAAACCAGTTAGCAGGCTGTTCTCACAGAAGAGCCATTCAGAAGACCTGAGGCATGGTGACAGTAGCGGAGACAAAGTTCCACTTGACCTTTGTCAGTACTGCCCACAAATTCCATTCCACCTGTCCCTTCCACTGTCTCTATTCTCTTATTCATTCAACCAGTATCAGCTGAGCCAAACTATGCGCTAAACATGGGCACACCTGTTTCATCATCTTCCCCTATTTTTCCCTTTCCTTTCCTCCCTTCTTTATGCCACAGTCTCTCTTTTCACCAGCACCTTGCTTCCCCTGATATCCTCCTTTATGCTACTTTTCCAACATGAACTCAGGGACTGGGCCCGGAGCTCCATCTTCTTCCTTGGGGGCAAGGGACAGGGGTTAGAGGTCAGGCAGAATCTCTGAAACCCAGATGGCATGTCATTTATGAAGAACTTGCACAGTGGGCCCTTGGAGCTCAAAATGAGCAGAGGTGTGGCCTGGCAGACCAAACAAGTGTACCCAACTCTCCCCATCTAGTTTAAAACAGACACACCACACCACCTTACCACTCGATATCCTAGAAAAAGACAAAAATATGCCACCTCCTCCAAAGTAAGCATCAATGACCCTATAAGGGAATTTCTAAACTAAACTGGTACAGTAGTTGGGGTCCAACCAGGAAAATGGAAACCACTCTAACTCTTTACAACAGGGAGGACATAGTGCAGGGAACTGTTTACATAGGTCACAGAAGGCTGAGAAATCAGCTAAGGGAAGAAGTGGCAGCCCAGAGCATCTGAAAGCAACAACCACCCCCAAGGGATGGAGGGACAAAAGATGGCAGGCAGTGTTATCTGAGCCCAGGGACCAGATCACCTGCCAAATGCTGGAATAGTAGCAGGCCTCTCCAGCAATATCTATAGACTCAGAGAAAGACAGTCACTGCCAGAAATACCACGAAAGCCGAGAGGGACATGGAGATATACCCTGGCTTCTCCCCTCCTCCCACCCTCCAACTTCCCCCCCAGCACTTCCCATTGGTCAAACCCAGCCAGAAACCACTGATGCAGCGCTTACAGGGGTCAGCCTCCCTGATTCCAGGCAAGAGATGGGCAAGAAATGAATCTGGGAGCAAAAGGGCTCAGATGGCCTGGCTTTGTATTTTCTCTTACCAGGTACCTCTGCCAGGCCTCCAGAAGCCCACCTTTCTTTGCCTTTGATCCACAAGATTAGGGCCTGGAAGTCAAGGAAAAGTCATTTTCATCCTGCTGGGCAGATGTCACTGTGGGTGCCATCCTCCTTCCCCCTTGGATGTTGGCTTCTGGATGTTCAGATGTGTTTCCATCACACCATTTGTTCTTCCTTCCCTCTTTCCTTCCTGTATTTCTCATCCACTCACATGATCACCTGATCACACAGATCATTCTGTGTCAGGCACTGGAGACATGTTGGAGAATGAGAAATACTCCCTCCCCTCAAGGAGTTCGCAGTCTAGTGACAATTTCACATTTGTGGCACAGGTCCATATGTGCACCCCAAGAAGTAGGTCCTGGGTGGGTGGCAGCACAGGGGAAGGAATGGGCAGTTCTGCCTGGGTGGTGGGCAAGAAAGGCCGCCCAGAGGAACCTATGTTTCAGCTGAATCTTGAAGAACAGTTTATAGCTAAGTGAGCAGAAGTAGGACATTTCTGTTAGAATGAACAGCATATGCAAAGACATGAAGCAAGAAAGAGAAGAATTATAATCAGGGGGAGCAGAGTGTGAAGGTGTGGAGAGAGATGGGGTGACATGAAAGAGATAAGCAGAGCTGGTTGTTGGAGGGCCATACAAGAATATTTCTCCTGGGAGCTACCAAAGTGTTTTAAGCAAGAGGGGAAGTGTTTTAGACGGTTAAAGCTGCTCTAACAAAATGCCCCAAACTAGGTGGCTTATAAATAACAGAAATTTATTTCCTACAGCTCCAGAGGCTGGAAAGTCCAAGATCAAGATATCGGCAAATGCGGTGTCCAGTGAGGGCCACTTCCTCATAGACAGCATCTTTTCACATGGCAGAAGGAGCAAACAAGCTCCCTTGGGCCTCTTTCATAAGGGTGCCAAGCCCATTCCTGAGGACAGAGCCCTCATAATCTAAGAATGTCCTAAAGGCCTTACCTTCTACCACCATCACCTTGAGAGTTAGGATTTCAACATGTGAATTTTGGAGGGACACAAACATTCAGACCATAGCAGGAAGCTTATCAGAACTGAGCTTCAAAAAGATCACTCTGGGCAGCCCTGTGGGAGGCTGAGGCGGGCGGATCACCTGAGATCGGGAGTTCGAGACCAGCCTGGGCAACATGGTGAAACACCGTCTCTACTAAAAATACAAAAATTAGCCAGGCATGGTGGCGTGTGCCTGTAATCCCAGCTACTTGGAAGGCTGAGGCAGGAGAATCGCTTGAACCTGGGAGGTGGAGGTTGCAGTGAGCTGAGATCGTGCCACCACACTCTAGCCTGTGTAGAGGGAGAGTCTGTCTCTAAATAAATAAATAAAATAAATAAAATAAACAAAGATCACTCTGGCTACAGTATGGAGGAGGGACCGGAGGTGAGACCTGAGGTTGCAAGATGGGGGAGAAAGCCGGTATTCAGGCAGGAGTCCACACTACAGAGGGTGAAATCAGCATCCTCAGAGGAATTTGCAAGGACCTTGTTACAGTCAAGGCTTGCTTATGTACCAAAAAGAAAAAGAAAAAAAAAGAAGAGGGAAGGGAGAGAGAAGGAAAGAGAGAGGGAAAGAGGGAGAGAGAAAAAGAAAGGAAACCTGCTCGGAGAAAGTTAAGCTTTTTTCCAATAAATCAGTTGTCAGGGGCTCAGGTTGCTAAGCTACAGGGAAAGTGGAACAGCCTGTGCTCGCTAAAAGGAGCTTTGGGGGAGGTGAGTGTAATCAGTCAAGTTGTTCCCTCCTCCAGGCCCAGAGCCCCAGGCCTCACCCTGTGCAGGGTGGGAGCAGAGAGCTGTTCCACCTCCAGGCAGGGCCCACAGGGTTCAAACCATGCAGCACCACAGCAGGGAGAGAAGTTTCAGGGCCCTGACTGTGACAAGCTGAGATAGAAATTAGAACTCGAGGCAGAAATCACAAGGCAGCCTCCGCATCCCCAGACTCCCGGGTGAGCTGGGTGTGTGCCTGGTCTATTATTCACTGTGGCCACATATCAAGCTGCCATGCACCCCTCTCCCAGGGCAATTAGCGCACCACTGTTCCGCCACTATTGGGGGTCACAAGTTCCAATCATTCTTTTAACGTGTGTTTAGGCCATGGATTTTTCTGGGGCTCTATTATTCTGGGTTTGCCCTGGGTAACCAAAGTGGCTTTTTGGGCTAGGCACAATGGCTCATGCCTGTGGGAGACAGAGGTGGGAGGATTGCTTGAACCCAGGAGTTCGAGACCAGCCTGGGCAAATAAATGAGACCCTGTCTGTACAAAAATTAAAAAACAACTATCTGGGCATTGCATTGTGGTGTGTGCCTGTGGTCCCAGCTACATGGTAGGCTGAGGTGGGAGGATCACCTGAGCCCAGGAGGTCAAGGCTGCAGTGAGCTGTGTTTGCACCACTATACTCCAGCCTGGGTGACACAGCAAGACCCTGTTTCAAAAATAGAAAAATATATAAAATAAAAATAACAAAGTGGCTTTAAAAAAAATCACCAAATGGCTTGACTACCAGCACCTGTAGCTTCTTAAATAAATTCAGATAATGGGGAGTGGGAGAGTGGCATTGCATCAAGAAGCCCAGGAGTCAGGGCTTAATTTACTCTCCAAGGTCTGGAATGGACAGTTTGACCCTGGAATTCAAATATGAAGCCCCACGGCCTGATGCTTCCAATACATGTGGGAGCAGGGACCTGCATGTGACCAGAAGCCTCTAGGTGCACATTCCTTCAACCCTATTTCCCTACCCTGGGCCTAGCTCACACAAACTCTGTGTATTTGCTTTATAATAGTTGCTTGGAGACAGGGTAATCTTAAAGGGAACCACACCCAACCTCCCACCTTCTATCTGACATGCAGATGTCCCTTCAATCTCTGTCAGGTCTCTTTAGGCCAAGTGCTCCCCGGAGGTAAAAGCAGGAGGTAAAAGTTTGGGGAGCTGGGAGCCAGGCATGGTGGCTCATGCCTGTAATCCCAGCGATGGGAGGCTGAGGCAGGAGGATCACTTGAGTCCTGGAGTTCGAGGCTACAGTAAGCTGTGATTGCCCCCACGGCACTCCAGCCTGGGCAACAGAGCAAGACCCTCTCTAAAAATAAATAAATAAAGTTTGGGGAGCTGACGACAGTACAAGTTGCCTCCCAGAATCAGACTCAGAAGTTACGATAGTAAGATAATGGGGCGCTGAGAAATAGAGAAATCAGAGGAACAAAAGACAGGAAACTAGGATTCCATCTGTCAACACGTGGGATGGGGATTGTTGAAGGATGATGAAGTCAAGACCTGATGGAGATGGTGCAGCTGCTGTGGAAAACAGTACGGCGACTCCTCAAACAATTAAAGATAGAATTCACGTATGATCTCACAATTCCACTTTGGGGTACATACTCAAAAGAATTGAAAGCAGGATCCCAGAGATATTTGTACACCGACATTCATAGCAGCATTATTCACAACAGCTAAAATGTGGGAACAACCCAAGGGTTCATCAATAGATGGATGAACAAATATGGTATATACGGACAATGGAATATTCTTCATATTCTTTAGCCTCAAAAAGGAAGGAAACTCTGACACCTGCTATTACATGGATGAGCCTTGAGGACATTATGCTAAATGAAATAAGCCAGTCACAAAAGGACAAATGCTGTATGATTTGACTCACATGAGGTACTTACAGCCGCCAAAATCATAGACAGAAAGTAGAATAGTGGTGGCCAGGTATTGGGGGGAGGGGGGAATGGGGAGTTATTGCTTAATGGGTACAGAGTTTCAGTCGTACAAGATGATAAGAGTTCTGGATGGATGGTGGTGATAGTTGCACGACATTATGAATGTATTTAATACCACTAAACTGTGCACTTTAAAATGGTTAAGATGGTAAATTTTATGTCATGTGTATCTTGCCACAATTTAAAAAATGGAAAAAAATGATCTGATTGAGGAAAGTTTGACAAGAGAGATAAACTGAGTCACAAGAGCTGCAGCTCAAAAACAGCAATGAGTAAATCACAGCCAGATATAAGAAGAGAACCCTCTTGGGGAAAATGACCAAGGCAGGGAGGATCTAGGAGAGGAAACTGATCATTGTCAACATTCCCTGCTGAGCTCCCACTCTGAGCAAAGACCATGCAAAGCACAGTGGTGGCACAAGGCCAGCTCTTCCTTAAGCCTTGCCGGTCTCTCTACCCCCAGTCAGACTCCCTGTCTTAGGGGTTTATCTGTACCTCTCTTATTGAACATAACTTTCCCACTTAGTATCTATGGGATATTGTGCAACTTATTTAGCTTTCCTGTGCATTGTTTTCTTTTTTCCTTTTTTAGAGATGGGGGCCTCACTATGTTGCCCAGGCTGGTCTTGAACTCCTGGGCTCAAGCAATTCTCCCAGCTCAGGCTCCCAAAGTGATGGGATTACAGGCATAAGCCACCATGCTCAGCCTATGCATGGGCTTCTTATCTGTAAAGTGGGAATAATCTCTAACAGTTGTTTGTATGTGTGTGTGTGTGTATGTTTCCTCCTCCTCTTCCTCCTCCTTCTCCTCCTCCTTCTCTCTTCCTCCTCCTCTTCCTCCTCCTTCTCTTCCTTCTTCTTTTCTTCTTTTTAAAAACAGGGTCTCACTCTGTCACCTGGCGTACAGTGGCATGATCATAGCTCACTGCAACCTTGAACTCCTGGGCTCAGATAATCCTCCTGCCTTTGCCTCCCATAATGCTAGGATTGGCATGAGCTGCCGCTCCCAGCCAACTATTACAATTTTTATCATCATCAGCATCATCTGTTTATTTAATGCTCAAAGTGTGAAATAAATGGCTTCAAAAAAAGTGTAAGAGATGGGAACTCTCACCCTATTCTATAACTAAGGAGAATGAGCATGAAGGGCTCAAATACTTGTGTAAGACACACAACAATTCAGTGTTGGAGCCAAGAGTCAGACTTGGATGTGCTGGACCTAAAGCTCAGTTTCTTTCCACTGTGTCACGTTCATCTCTCTTGGTACCTTGCGTCCTTGAAAATGATGGATGTGGGAAGCAGCCACAGGCAGGTGGGAAGGGCACAAACCGTGGAGTTGGAGCACCTGGATTCCAGCTCCTACTTGCTAACTGCATGACCTGGGACACATAACTTCTGCTCTCTGGACCTCAGTTTTTCTGTGTAAGATGGATAATAATACCCACATCTGAGGGTTGTTGTGTCCTCACAACAGTAAAGCTATCACAGAGCATATTCTGTGTCTTGTCATAGACAATCTATTAGGTGGTTCTAAATCTCCTTCCTGGCTGGGCACAGTGGTTCATGCCTGTAATCCCAGAACTTTGGGAGGCTGAGACAGAAGGATCACTTGAGCCCAGGACTTCGAGATCAGGCTGGGCAACATAGTGAGAACCCGTTTTTACAAAAATAAAATAAAGAAAAATTAACTGGGTATGGTGGTGCATACTTGTAGTCCCAGCTACTCAAGAGGCTGAGGTAGAAGGATCACTTGGGCCCAGTAGTTTGAGACTACAGTGAGCTATGACCATGCCACTGTACTCCAGCCTGGGCAACAAACAAGAACTTATGTCAAAAAAAAAAAAAAGAAAAAAAAAAAGAAAAAAGAAAAGAAAAGAAAAGAAAAGAAAAGAAAAGAAAAGAAATTAGGCCGAACACGGTGGCTCACACCTGTAATCCTAGCATTTTGGGAGCCCAAGGCGAGTGGATTGCCTAAGCTCAGGAGTTTGAGAACAGCCTGGGCAACATGATGAAACCCCGTCTCTACTAAAATACAAAAAATTAGCCAGGCATGGTGGTGTGCACCTGTAATCCCAGCTACTCAAGGGGCTGAGACAGGAGAATTGCTTGAACCCAGAGGTGGAGGTTGCAGTGAGCCGAGAGATCACAGCATTGCACTCCAGCCTGAGCAACACAGCAAGACTCCGTCTCAAAAAAAAAAAAAAAAAAAAAAAAATCTATCAATCCATCAATCTCCTTCCCACTACATGTGGAGCCCTCATTCCTTTCCTCTGGCTTCATCTTTACTTCCTGCCCAGGGAAATCATTTCTACCTGAATTTCTGAAATACTATTCCACCCTTTGCTCATTCTATGTGCTCCTATTTTCTTTCCTTGAAAGTTTCCATCCATTTCTATGGCTCCAGTCCCTGCTTACAGTTAATGCCTAGATCTACGTGTGTACCTGGGCCTCTAACTGAAGAATTAAAACACTGTTTCATTCCAAGGACCATCCCGAAGTAAAATGATGGTTTGAGTAGGCCTGGTCTTCAGTCTTCAGCTTCTTCATGTTGTCCCCCAGCCTGCTGCGGTCTTCCTCCTCCCAGCCCCTGGCACCTGAGATCTTGGGGTTTTCTCCCCTTCTAACCAAATTGATCTTTGGACAGAATTTGAAATTCCTTCCCATTCAGGTGAAAGTAACAGACAACCACTAATACCTCCCAAGAGTAGTTATCTTTTAATGAAGGCCAGGACCTTGAGCCCAAGCCCTGAAATCACACTGCAGAATTTCACTTTGTTGCCTCTCCATGGGGAGGATGCTTGTTTCCATGCCCAGGGTCTTCCCTGGAGAAGCCTTGCCATGCAGGCCACTGGAACCCTCTTCTGCTTCAGCCAGGCCCTGGTGATGGATCTGGAATGCTACCTTGCTTTTGGGGGCAGCATTGTAGTCACACTTGTCATACCTATGACATCTCTTATCTTTGTATCTCAAAGAGCTTCGAAAATGTTAATTAATTTGAGACACTGTCTAAAAAAGCAGACTTGCAGATGGCAATCTCCAACTACAACTGTAGTTTCTTTTATACTCACAAGCCTCCATTGAGAAAGAAATTCAAAGTTGCTAAAGTCCACGTCACCTGAAATCCCAGCACTTTGGGAGACTGAGGCGGGCAGGTCACCTGAGGTCAGAAGTTCAAGACCAGCCTGGCCAACATGGTGAAACTTCATCTCCACTAAAAACACAAAAATTAGCCAGGTGTGGTGGTGCATGCCTGTAATCGCAGCTACTCGGGAGGCTGAGGCAGGAGAATCGCTTGAACCCAGGAGGCGGAGGTTGCAGTGAGCCAAGATCATGCCACTGCACTTCAGCCTCAGTGACAGAGCAAGATTCCATCTCTAAATTAATTAATTAATTAATTAATTAAAGCCCATGTCAGCCCTCATTCTAGCAAAGAGGTATTATGTCCCGGTGATTTGACTAGTTTTAGTTATGCTCCCAGGTGATTTCTAAAAACCATTTCATTGTTATTATTCCATTTGTATTAGGCAGCTACATCAGCACATGGGCTCAAGCCCCAGCTCCCAATTCCAACTCCATGACTCTGGATAGGACTTACAAACTTTCTGTTTCAATTTCCCCATCTATAAAATGAGATACTACTACCTAACTCTTGGAATTGTTGTGAGCCTTAAATGAGATATTATCTACAAAGTACCTACCTCTATGCCTGGTACTTAGAGACATTGGGTAAAAGTTAGTTCCCTTCTCTTTTCCTCCCCCACATTCCCACCCTTTGCTACATAGCACTGTAGAGAAATAATCAGAAAGATACATTCACTGCTCTTCAGTTCTGTGTGTTCCAAAAGGAGATACATTTGATCATTAAAAACCACAAAGGCAGCGGCCGGGCGCGGTGGCTCACGCCTGTAATCCCAGCACTTTGGGAGGTCGAGGCAGGCAGATCACGAGGTCAGGAGATCAAGACAATCCTGGCCAACACGGTGAAACCCCATCTCTACTAAAAATACAAAAAATTAGCCGGGCGTGGTGGCGGGCGCCTGTAGTCCCAGCTACTCGGGAGGCTGAGGCAGGAGAATGGCATGAACCTGGGAGGAAGAGCTTGCAGTGAGTGGAGATCGTGCCACTGCACTCCAGCCTGGGTGGCAGAGCGAGACTCCATCTCAAAAAAAAAAAAAACAAAAAAAAAAAACACAAACGCAAATTCCTTCTGTCTTTTCAAGGGTTCAATTTCACCCTTTTCTACTCTTTACTAGGAAAGAGAAGAAAGCGAAAATAAAAGATGAACTGAAGAGAAGTTGTGGAGAGATGTGTGTGATGATCATTGTATTAGACACATTAAAAATAAGCAGAGTGCTTTGAACAGATAGTTTATCTACAGTCTACAAAGTGGAATTATTAACCAGGCCTAAGCTGCAATGTATAAGAAACAACCAGGGCCAGGCACAGTGGCTTACACCTGTAATCCCAACAGGTGATTTGGGAGGCTAAGGCAGGTGGATCATCTGAGCTCAGGAGTTTGAGACCAGCCTAGACAACATGGTGAAACCCTGTCTCTACAAAAAAGACAAAAACTAGCCAGCCATGATGGTGTGCACCTGTAGTCCCAGCTACTTGAGAGGCTGAGGCAGGAGGATCACCTGAGCCCAGGAGGTCGAGGCTGCAGTGAGCTGAGATTGCACCGCTGCACTCCAGCCTGAGTGACAGAGCGAGACCCTGCCTCAAAAAACAAAAAAAGAACCAGCAGAGTGTCCCTGTTTAAGGAGACACTGTGACAACTAAGCATTTGGTATGGCTGACATTCATCTCAAGATCATAGTACCACAGAAATCTCATTCAGCTCATCAGAGCCTTCTTAAACCTGCTCTGGACAACCCCATTCTCCTAGAGCCAGGTAGGTGAGGCAGGTCAGTAACTATAAATCACTAGCAGCCTTTCGAGCTCACGTCAGAACCAGGAGAGCCAGAGCAGTGGTTAAATCCATGAACAAATGTGAAGCTATATTCAGGAGGTGAAGCAGGATGTCAGGAGCCCAGGTCAGGAGACAGAGTTGTAAATAGTGGATGAGGCCTGGGATGGGGTGCAGGCTGAATGGAGCAGTGTCAGCTGATCCAAACATGCCAGGCTGGGCCAGGCATGCAGAAGGAGCCAAGTGCCAACCCTGGAAAGGGAGGGGAACAGATGAGAGAGGAGCAGCAACCAGGAAAGAGCCAAAGCTGAAAACAAGCAGAACAAGAACAGGTCAAGGTCAGAACCTCCACTGTCAAATCCAAGCGTGAATGACAGCAAGAACAGAGTCCAGAAGCCAGGCTGAGTGCTGGAACAGCTCCTCCAGACTGGACATGCTGTGAGGGCAGGGGTCCCAGCCGCCTTGCTAAGTGCCGTGTGCTTTGAGCCCAGAGCAGTGTTTGGCAGGAGACAACAAGGCCTACATAAATACTAGTTGTCCACGCCATTGTCGAAATTGGCAGAAGCCAGTGAATGAACAACATGAGGGAAACAGGGATAGACTAAATTGTGTGCACAACCTCTGAAAGTGAGCCCTTCTCAGTGAGTGCCCTGACCTGTCTTAAAGTGCTGGGGTTGATCCAACCGTTTTCATTTCATGCACCTCAAACCTTCCCTCTCTCCTTCCTGACAGCCTGTATTAGTTTCCTGTGGTTGCTGTAACAAATGACCACAAACTTCTGTTGTCTCTAGCTTAAAGCAACAGAAATGGGCTGGGCGCCATGGCTCATGCCTGTAATCCCAGCATTTTGGGAGGCCGAGACGGATGGATCACTTGAGGTCAGGAGTTTGAGACCAGCCTGGCCAACATGGCGAAAGCCCGTCTGTACTAAAATTAGCTAGCGGTTGCAGGCACCTGTAATTCCACATACTTGGGAGGCTGAGGCAGGAGAATGGCTTGAACCCAGGAGGCGGAGGTTGCAGTGAGCTGAGATCGCGCCACTGCACTCCAGCTTGGGTGACAAAGTGAGACTGACTCAGAAAAAAAAAAAAAAAAAAAAAAAAGAATTCTCTAGAGACCTGAAGTCCAAAGTCAGTATCATAGGGCCAAAATCAAGGTGTGGGCAGGGCCACATTCCCTCCGGAGGGTCTGTAAGGGATAAGCCTTCCACACCTCTTCCAGCTTCTGGTGTCTCCAAACGTTCTCTGGCTTGTGGCTGCATCACTCAGATCTCTGCCTCCATCTTCACAGGGCTGCTTTCCCTCCACGCCTTCTCTTCTCCATGTGTCTCTCTTCTGTGAGTATCTCTCTCACAAGGATGCTTGTCAAGGCAGTTAGGGCCCACCCACATCATCCAAGAAAATCTCATCTCTAGATTCCTAACTCGATTGTATGTGCAGGCACCCTTTTTCTAAGCAAGGCCACATTCATAGGTTCCAGCATGTAGGCATATCTCTTGGGGGCCATCATTCAACCCACTACACCTCCCCTGTCAAAATGTACCTGTCTTAGGCCAGACACAGTGGCTCATGCCTATAATCCCAGCACTTTGGGAGGTGGAGGCAGTCAGATCACATGAGGCCAGGAGTGTGAGACCTGCCTGGCCAACATGGTGAAACCCTGTCTCCACTAAAAATACAAAAATTAGCCAAGTGTGGTGGTATACGCCAGTAATCTCAGCTACTTGGGTCGCTGAGGCATGAGAATCGCTTGAACCCAGGAGGCAGAGGTTGCAGTGAGCTGAGATCACGCCACTGCACTTCAGCCTCAGGAACAGATAGAAACACTGTGTTAAAAAAAAAAAATACCTGTCTTGTGCTTCATTACTTTAGGTCCCATGAGATATTATATTTTCAGCAAAAATGTTAATGATGTAATGTGTTTCCTTTCTGTTTTATATCAGATAATTCCTAGAGATGTAAGGCCTTGGTCAAGAAAACGGCTGTCTAGGGGCTAGGATTTCAGGCCCCAACCGGGCCTCTGAAGAGGCTAGCTTGGAGAAGAGGCTTTTTTTCTCAGCATCAACCCTTCCATCAGCTCACAGTTTGCACGGGGTTTGCCCCTGTCATCTGGTCACTGGAAATCATGGGAGAGTTGGAAGTACTGTTGGAGCATTCCATCTCCTCCTGGCTTTCTAAATAACTTTTGCATCTTTCTAGTCCTAATCCTTCCCTTTAAAACTAGTTAATAGAAGCTCTGTACTGTGCTAAGCAATTTACAAGCATCTTATTTAATCATTGTAACATTCTTTATGAAGTAGTTACAATCATTTTTGTACGTTTCAGAGAAAGAAATTGAGGCTCAGATATGAAATGGCAGAGCCAGGACTTGAACCCAGGTTCTCTCACTCCAAACCCCATCCTTTGAACCACCCTACTGATGTACCTCCTATGGATCTTCAGATAGCATTTTCTCAAAACTGGGCTGTCAGAAGCATGATGGGCGTGGCCAAGGGAGGATTACACAAGCTGGTGAGCTGCGATGGAGAGCCGCTGGTTCTGCTCCCAGAAAGTCAAGGATTATGGAGTGTGATGGTTGCTGCCTGGGGTGGAGAGTGTGCATGTATATTGATTAGTGCCTACCATACTAAGAAATTCCCTTCTCTTTAGAAGTGAACAGTCTCAAATTGGCAAAATATAGAAGGACAAAGGTGTAAAAGGACTGAGCAGAATCCGAAGTTTTCCTGTGAGCATGGAGGTGGGGCAGGGAGAATGAAGAAGAAAATGCAACTGAGAAAATAAGTCTAGTTCTTGGTAAGGTGAGATGTCTTTGACATTCATGAAGGAACTTCCTGTTCCTTCCTAGCAGGAAGAACATTTGCCTGGTGATGGTCTGTCAGACTAAACTGCCTTACCTATAAAGAAGGCAGGAAACTAACATTTGAGCATGTAGATTTTCAGACTATTTCCCTTGGATTATTTCACTTCATCATCAGAGGAAGATGTTCCTCCCTTCATATTGCAGATAGGGCAATGGGGCTCAGAGGGCTGGAGTGGTTTGCCCAACATCATTCAACTAGTAATGGCAAAGCTGAGATTTGAGTTTGTCTTCTAACTCCAATCTCAGGGCTCTAATTTAGATTGCAGTTGATCATTTATTATAAAACCTTGGCAATGCTTGATTGCCTGTTTCAGTGTGAAGAGTGCACTTGTTTCACAGCAAGGTGAAATCAGAAAACGTGCAAGGTCACTAGCCTCCCCAACCCTGCCTGCCTTCTTGTGTCTCAACTCCAGCTTTGTCCACCTCTGCCTAGAAAACTCCTTCTCAAACTTTAAAATCCACCTCAAGTGCCTCCTCTCTTTGAAACTTTAGATCCACTACCTTCTGGCTCCAGGTAGAATAGCTGTTCTTTTACATGTTCTTTCAGACCCATATGCATATGTGCATTACTAATAAGTCACTTTTAATATGCCTGTCTCCCCCACTAGGATGTGAACTGCTCAAAGACAGGGACTGTCCTATTCCTTGTGGCCCAGCCAGGCCCAGCTCAGGGAGGTTAGGCAAGAGCTGTTGGGTCTAAGGCTCTCAGTGCAGTCTACTTTGGCTCTGAACTTCACCAGTGCAATCAGGTAAACCTTGGTCTCTTCCTTCCCCTAGCTAGATGTCCAAGTGACTCATGCCTTTTCCTAGAGGCCATAAACATGTCCCTGCTCAGATGCTAGTGCTGAGTTCCACTCTGCTATGTGGCTTTGCTGGTGTCCCCTTGCCTATCTCCATGTGGTCTCCATATGTCCCCTATATCCCTGGTCTACCCTGCTCTGTCCCTAATCATACAGGCTAGACTTGGCTTGACTTTGCCACTGCTCTGGTGACATCTCTCCTCTCCTTCTCATCCACTCCTGTCCCTGCCACATCACTCCAGGGAAAAGCAAACTGAAATCCTCTCCCAACCACTGGTGCATTACGCCCTATGACAGGCACGATAATGGCCCTTAAAGATATCACGCCCTAATCCCTGGAACCTATAAATGTTACCTAATAAGAAAAAGAGGTCTTTGCAGACGTGATTCAACTAAGGATACTAAGGTCAGGTATAGAGGCTGAGGCAGGTGGATCACTTGAGCTCAAGAGTTCGAGACCAGCCTGGGCAACGTGGCAAAACCCTGTCTCTACAAAAAAAGAAAAAAGAAAAATACAAAAATTTGCCGGGTGTGGTGGTGTACACCTATAGTCCCAGCTACTCAGGAGGTTGAGGTGAGATGGACTGCTTGAGCTTGGGAAGTCGAGGCTGCAGTGAGCTGTGTTCTCGCCACTGCACTCCAGCCTGGGCGACACAGTGAGACCCTGTCTCAAAAAATTAATTAATCGATTAAGGATTCTGAGATGGAGAGATTATCCTGGATTATCCAGGTGGGTCCTAAATGAAATCACAAGTGTCTTATAAGTTAGAGAATGAGGAGCATTACACACACACACATACACACACACACAGAGAGAGAGAGAGAGAGAGAGAGAGAGAGAGAGAGAGAGAGAGAGAGAGAGAGAGAGAGCCATGTGAAGCCACAGGCAAAGACTGGATGCAGCCATGAGCCAAGGAATGCCAGCAGCCACCAGGAACTGCAAAAGGCAAGGAGCAGTTTCTACCCCAGAGCCTCTGGGGGGAGTGCAGCCCTGCTGCCACCTTGCTTTTGACCCAATGATACTGATTTTGAACTTCTGGCCTCCAGAACTGTGGGAAAATAAATCTCTGTAGTTTTAAGCCACCCAGTTTGTGCTAATTTGTTACACCAGCCACAGGAAACTAATACAGGTCCCAAAGGGATTGACCTTGCTCTCCTAGTTTTTTTTTTTTTTTTTTAACCCCGCTAGTTTTACAACTGGCTCAACTGCCTCACTCCTCTGGCTTCTTACAGCCCCTTTCTCTAAGGACCTGGACTAGTAACCACCATTTATTGAGCACCTACTACATGCCAGGTACTGAGGCTTCCATGGGCTACATCACTAATCCATGCAATAACCCTGTGAGATGGGTATTGAGGCCAAAAGAAGTCAGGTGACTTGCCCATGATCACACAGCTGCTAGAAAATGCCAGAGCTGGGATCTAAAAGCAGGTCTAACTCCAAAGCCTATGGCTGTGATCCTGCTGCCTCACTACTCAAGTAGGGGCCATCACTAGTTGACTGACTGCCAGTTCTCATGTGTTTTTCTCCAAAAGCCTATTGGCATCTCATACAAATAATAAGTGCTATTATATGGCAGGCATTGTGCTCAGGACTTTACATACATTATTTTATTTTTCTCATCAGTGCAACTCCATGAGGTAAGAGCTATTATCATCCCTTTTTACTGACAAGGAAATTACTGCTAAGTGGTAGACCCGGCACCAGGCCCTGGGTTTCTGGGGTCCTGGACAAGTGTCATTTCCTCTGATCTGCTCAGCCTCTCATTTGCACCAGTGCCCTGGGCTGTAATTTGACTTGGACTTGGTTCAGACTTCTGAAAGGCCTCTGTGTTGTCCAAAGTTTGGAGGACTTCCACCAAGTTTATGTGTGGAGCTTGCTTGTTAGTTTCCAGAGGGTTCAAAACACCCACAGTGCTGCATAAATATTCCACTGCCCAGACATTCACAAACACCCTACCCACATCTTTAAAAGTCTCTCTATCTAGTCCTATCTGTGGCCTCCTCCTCTCCTCATTAGAAGCCTTGAGATAGTTACATTGCAAAATTAACATATTAAAACAAATTTGCAAAATATAAATTATTGTAATGCATTATAACAATGATAATATAAAAATTGGGAAAGAAGAAAAATGTTAAGGATTTCATCAAAATATGTGTCCTAAGTAAAGTCTTTTATAAAAATGCATCTCAGTGGAGGTGGATAGAGGGAAGAATGCCAGGGAAGACAGAAAGAATGAGGCAGAAAGCAAGATTCTCTATATTTATAAACCCTGAATACCTAAATGGGTTTATTTAGAATCAGTGGTCATTTGCATGCCTTCATAGGAAATGTTGAAAAACTTAATTGAAACAGCAATTCATACAGCACAGCCAACAGACAACAAACTGCCTTTGGAAGTGAATGAGGACTCCCTGAATTTCCTGGATCATCTTGGTTCTTTATAGACTTTGCAAAGGAACAAGAACCCAACAAAAGGGAAAAAGAACTCTCCATGATTGTTGACAGCTGTATAATAATGAAAAGAGACCAGGACCTGGCCGGGTGCAGTGGCTCACACTATATTCCCAACGCTTTGGGAGGCCAAGGTGGGTGGATCGTTTGAGCTCAGGAGTTCAAGACAAGACTGGGCCACATGGTGAAACCCTATCTCTACCAAAAATAAAAAATAGCCAGGATCTCAGCTACTAAAGAGGCTGAGGTAGGATGGTCTCTGGAGCCTAAGAGTTGGAGGTTGCAGTGAGCCGAGATTGCACCATTGCACTCCAACCTGGGCGACAGAGTGAGACCTTGTCTCAAAAAAAGAAAAGAGAAAACAGGAACAGGAACAGAGAAATCTGGATTTCAGTCCTACTTCTTCCCTTATATGCTGTGTGATCTTGGACAAGGCACTTCCCATCTCTGACCTTCAGTTTTTTCCATCTGTAGGTAATCTCTATGGTACCTTCAAATTCTACCAGAATATTTTTAACTAAAATAGCATCATAGCTACGCTTCGCATTTTTGCTTTTGCTTTTCTTCTCACAGTCACATAATCAACCAAGAGAATGAGGCAAGGAGTTGTGGTTGCTGCTGAACACACACATTTATCTAGAGGGCAAATGTAGACTTTGGTTTAAATTCTTCTGATGAAACTGTGTCTCACACCCAAATCCCAAGTTCAACGGACTGCTCTTGAGATGCCAGCCGTGGCGGCCTTGCTAGGGAGGAGGCCCATGATGGCCTGTGTCTGAGTCTGTTTCATTGCAACACTCCCAGAAAGCCAGCCCTGTCATTAAGCTCACAAAGTAAACACTGTCCTCAGCAAAAGCCTGAGTTAGCAGTCACCTAAAGGCAACTGTGCTCCTTTAAGGGGAGAGCTTTCACCATTCATTGCTCCACCAGTGCCGGCCTTAAAACTTGAAATCAAACGCAGGGCTCCCAAGGCGCTGGCCTTTCATCCAAAACCACCGAAGGCTGTGGGCAGGATTCAGAATTATGTTTCACCAGCTGGTCCAGGCCGCAGTTTGTCTGGGGAGAGAAACAGACACAGGGAACAAAGAGATGGAGGTGGGAAGGTGGTAAGAAAAGGGCCTTTCTGCTGTTATTGCCACAGAGCTATGGGTGGTATTAACGTAATCAGAATATTTTACCCAGAAGTCCAGAACGTAGAAGTATCAATAAGCATTTCTTGCCCCAAACATTTATTGTAGGCATATCAAGTTTTTACCATGTCATTTTGGTCTTTTTTTTTTGAGACAGAGTCTTGCTCTGTCACCCAGGCTGGAGTGCAATGGCACAATCCCAGCTCACTGCAACCTTCACCTCCCAGGTTCAAGAGATTCTTCTGCCTCAGCCTCCTGAGTAGCTGAGATTACAGGCACCCACCACCACACCTGGCTAATTTTTGTTTTTTTGTTGTTGTTTTTTGTTTTTTTTGTTTTAGTAGAGACAGGGGTTTCACCATGTTGGCCAGTCTGGTCTCAAACTCCTGATCTCAGATGATCCGCCCTCCTCAGCCTCCCAAAGTGCTGGGATTGCAGGCATGAGCCACTGCGCCCAGCCTGTTCTTGTTAATTAATATGCTTCTTCCTCATTATGTTAAAGCTGCATCTTGTGTGCGTGTACTGAACCCCCACCTAGCTGGCAAATTCTTCAAAGGCAGGAGAAGTTCCCATTGTTTAGTTTCCAAGCCCAACAAGGTGATTGGTGCTGAACTGAGCCAAGACAGGCAGACTGCCTTCACCAGGGAGTCAAGAGCAGCACCTTGGTGTATCCCCAATGCCCTTCTCCGGGGGTATCCAGTCCATCCCCATTATTTTTGTGGCCCACAAGGCAGTACCTCCTCCCCCAGGTCTGAGAAGACTGAGGAGGGTGTTATTAGGTTCCTACATGGCCCAGACTAGTTGATATCCCATCTGGGACTTGCTGAATAATGATGATAATAATAGCTAACATTTATCGAGCACTTACTATGTGCAGCCTCTGCTAAATACTTTATCTTGCAACACAATCCTCATGCCAGCCCTCTGAGATAGCACTTTTATCATCCCCACTTTACAAATGTAAAAACTGAGACTCAAAATACACAGCTAGGAGACGGTAGACCTGAGATTCTGGTCAGGGCTGACTGACGTGGATCCTGTGTTTGAACTCCTAGCATACGCTGCTTCCCAAACTAGTTTGTAAATTCTTTTGAGAGCAGAGATTCTATCTTTTTCTTTTCTGTACTCACAGAGCCTAGAAGAATCCTGAGCAACAGTGGACTCTTAGCATCTACCTGTTTCTTGACTGACTCATGAGCGATCCATGCCCATGGCAGTCAGAGATAAGAGTGACAAGAGGTTAGAGAGGGATCTGGCAAAGAAAGTTTGGAGAGCTGCTTATAGCCAGGTCAATTTAGGGTGAGGGAGTGTAGGCACAGAGGCCCCTCTCAGCAGTACTCAGAAGCTTCCAGAGCATCCTGAGCAGGAAGGTGGCCTTCCCTTCTCAAGGAGGACTCTCTAAGGAATAAGGAGGCATCCGAACATAGCAAGGGCAGAGGAGTGGCTATGGAGCCAAATCTCATTCAATGTCTCTGTCTTGGTGATCACTAAGAAGCCAGTGTTGCTCTCTGCAGCAAGCTGCTCATCTGTTGTCCTGATTGACCTCCAGTTTAGAAAAATGCACAGTATCCAACTGTTCCTACACTTTGACTGCTCTGCAGGATTTTTTCCCTCTTCCTATATTGAACATGTGAAGGATTGCAGCCCTTTTTTTTTCTAATGGCTTATGTTTTGATGTTTTACCTGTAAATCAATTATTTGGAACTGATAACACATTTCCCATAGGAAATCATGTTGCTTAAAGAGGTTAGGATCTCAGGCTATGTCCTAATAGTCTTATTTTACCCATTGTTTATTCCTTTTTTTTTAATTTTCTTATTTTAAGAGACAGAGTCTCCCTATGTTGCCTCCCACCTCAGTCTCCCAAAGTGCTGGGATTACAGATGTGAGCCACTGTGCCCAGCCTTTACCCATTATTAATAGCAGTGAGCCTGATGTACATATCACCTACAAATAATCATGTTCATAATAGGAAAAAATGTATTAGGTTGGTGCAAAGGTAATTGTGGTTTTTGCCATTATGAAACCGCAATTACTTTTGCACCAATCTAATATATTCCTAATTCTAACTCAGCACCCCAGGACAGGGTTTCCCCTACCTGGGGAAGTAGAGATTTCTGGAGATGAGGTTAGCAGCACTCTGCTACCTCATAACTTTCTAACTGGGTTTGCAGAAGAGATCAGAACTTGAGGATATAAGATCATGCCAGCCTTATCAAAGAAGTCATGTCTGCAGAAGCAACAGGTTTGCAACACAATCATTGCAGCAACGATCCAGATACACACTGATATCTGTTGATTCAGGATGACACACATGAGGGTATGAGTCACACACCTGACCTCCTCAAGACATCTTAAAAGTTCAAAGGGAGGCCGAGGCGGGCAGATCACGAGGTCAGGAGATTGAGACCATGCTCGCTAACATGGCAAAACCCTGTCTCTACTAAAAATACAAAAAATTAGCAGGGCGTGGTGGCGGGCGCCTGTAATCCCAGCTACTCAGGAGGCTGAGGCAGGAGAATGGCGTGAACCCGGGAGGCGGAGCTTGCAGTGAGCCGAGATCACGCCACTACACTCCAGTGTGGGTGACAGAGCGAGACTCTGTCTCACAAAAAAATAAAAAATAAATAAAGGTCAAAGGGATTTCCACCATACTCAGCTTGTTAAATCTCTGAAGTGGAAAGATCAATACTCCTCTAGCCCAACTCCAGCCCAAGACTCCTTCCTATGCCTAGTACTCTGTGCTGAGAAACAGGGAGTCGCAGAAGGAACTCCTTCAAGAAGCTTCTTATTCATTTTTTTAAAAAAATCATTATAATAGCTACTTCTTTTTTTTTTAGTACTAACTTGAGGCCAAAGGCTTTATATGTTTCAATTTGTTAAATTCTCATAAAAACCCTATGTTTAGATTTAGCTTCACTTAGAATATAAGGAAACTGAGGTTTATCATGATTAAGTAACTTGCCTTACCTCACACAGCTAATACACGGAAAAATCAGGATTCAAAACCCAGTCTGTTGGGTGGGCACAGTGGCTCATGCCTGTAATCCCAGCACTTTGCGGGGGCCAAGGCAGGCAGATCACTTGAGATCAGGAGTTCAAGACCAGCCTGGCCAACATGGTGAAACCCCGTCTCCACTAAAATATACAAAAATTAGGCAGGTGTGGTGGTGCGTGACTCTAGTCCCAGCTACTCGGGAGGCTGAGATGGGAGAATTGCTTGAACCTGGGAGGCAGAGGTTGCTGTGAGCCGAGATGGCGCCACTGCACTCCAGCCTGGGCAACAGAGCAAAACTCCATCTCAAAAACAAAAAACAAAAAACAAACAAACAAACAAAAACCCAGTCTGTGACGTCACACTATACTCCATAAATATGTACAATTATTGTGTCAATTAAAAACAAAATTTTAAAAATAAAAAATAAAAATAAGTAACATTTTAAAAAACCCAGTCTGTTTGCAACTCCAGAGTCCAGGCTATTAACTGCTATGGTATAATTGTTTTTCCAGAGGTATGGAGGAAACATCAAAAGATTATAAAACATAGTCACTGTTAAGTATGTCAAACTTATGTATTTTTATTTAAATAATAATCTTGAAATTGATACAGTATATGCTGGATCATCAGGCAGTGCAACTATAACTAAGTCCTGTCACACAATATAAAGGCTCCCTTTTCTGTTGATTTCTAGCCAAGAGGAGGCCAAACAAATACCATGATGGCTCACTGAAAGAATGAGGGTTTTAGGCTGGGCACAGTGGCTGATGCCTGTAATCTCAGCACTTTGGGAGGCCAAGGCAGGAGGATTACCTGAGGTCAGGAGTTCAAGACCAGCCTGGCCAACATGGTGAAACTCCATCTTTACTAAAAATACAAAAATTAGCTGGGCGTGTTGGCAAGTACCTGTAATCCCAGCTACTCAGGAGGGTGAGGCAGAAGAATTGCTTGAAACAACTGGGAGGCGGAGGTTGCAGTAAGCCGAGATCACGCCATTGCACTCCAGCCTGGGTGACAAGAGCGAAACTCCGTCTCAAAAAAAAAAAAAAGAATGAGGGTTTTACAGTAAGTTGAACAGAAGCAAGTCATGGGAGCTTCTCCATGAAGTCACGTAGCACACAGCAGTACAGGCATGCTGAGCACAGAAGGACCTTCCCTTAGGTGTCATCCTCACACTGGGAGCAGACATATTACACAGATCTCATTATACTGTAACCAGCATTGCACACCATGTTGACTCATCATTTTGAGAATGAGCTACTTGGCTGTTAAACTGCCTCAGTCTCTAGTGAGAATTGTTGAAAAGTAAAATTTTTTCCCAAGTCTCCCCTTAGCTATTTTTCTTTCTTTCTTTCTTTCTTTCTTTTTTTTTTTTGTTAGTAGGGACAGGGTTTTGCCATGTTGGCCACACTGGTCTCGAACTCCTGGCCTCAAGCAATGCGCCCGCCTTGGCCTCCCAAAGTGCTGGGACTACAGTGTTTTTCTTTCTTGATGATGCAATATTTAGTCATAAATATCCTCTGAAATCTTCTCATTGTCCTAATTAAAAGAAGAAACTTTTAAGAAACCAGAAGATAGAAGCCTGCTAGACCAGTCCTCCCATATGAGTCGAACATCAAAGTCGTTTATGAAAAAGGAAGAATCACAAAGTTTCAGTTTGTTACAACATTAGAGTAAGAGAGAAAGAAGCATAGAAAAAGCAGTACAAATAGGAAGCACAAAATAAGGTTATAGAAATGAATCCAAATTTCAGTAATCATAGTAAATGTAAATGGATCAAATTGGCCTTTAAAAGTACAAAAAAAGTTAGAGTTTTAAATATTAGAAATCCAGATATATACTTTTTATAAGAGGCTTGCTAAACTGTAAGGATCAAGAATGACAGAAAGTATAAGTATGTAAAAAATAGAGGCTGAGCACAGTGGCTCACATCTGTAATCCCAGTGCTTTGTAGTACTGGGAGTTGAAGACTAGACCTGGCTACATAGTAAGATCCCATCTCTACAAAAAATACAAAAATTAGCCAGGCGTCGTGGTATGTGCCTATGCTCCCAGCTACTGGGGAGGCTGAGATGGGAGACTTGCTTGAGCCCAGGAGTTTGAGGCTTCAATGAACTGTGATTGCACCACTGCACTCCAGCCTGGGTGACAGAGCAAGACCCTGTCTCAAAAAAGTAATAATAATAATATATATTTTTTAAATTAGCTGGTCACAGCAGCATGTACCTGTAGTCCCAGCTACTCGGGAGCCTGAGGCAAAAGGAGTGCCTGAGCCCAAGGGGTTCAAGGCTGCAGTGAGCCAAATGCCACCGCACTCCAGCCTGGGTAACAGAGCAAGACTCTGTCTCTAATAGAAATTAAAAATAAAAGTGAAAATAAAATATATCTGGCAAATAGCCACCCCTTCAAAAAAGCTAATGTTGTTGTTATTAATATGAGACAAATGAGTTTAAGACAAAAAGCATTTTTAGGGATGAAATGAGTCACTATATTTGATAAAAATTTCACTGGAGGCCGGGTGCAGTGTCTCACGCCTGTAATCCCAGCACTTTGGAAGGCCGAGGAGGGCAGATCACAAGGTCAGGAGATCGAGACCATCCTGGCTAACACGGTGAAACCCCGTCCCTACTAAAAATACAAAACATTAGCCCGCGTGGTGGCGGGCGCCTGTAGTCCCAGCTACTCGGGAGGCTGAGGCAGGAGATTGGCATGAACCCGGGAGCCGGAGCTTGCAGTGAGCTGAGATAGCGCCACTGTAGTCTGGCCTGGGCAAAAGATCGAGACTCTGTCTCAAAAAAAAAAATTTTTTTTTCACTGGAGAGCTATAACAACTCTAAACTTATATGTCCTTAATAACATATCTTCAAAGTATGTAATCTAAAAATTGATAAAACTTTGTTTCAAATTGAAAACATACATGGTGATGAGGATAAAAAAACTGAGGAAGGAAGGAGAGAATAAACATATGTTGAGGGCTTACTATTTGCCAAGACTGTGCCAAATGCTAGGGAAACAAGGATGTGGAGACATAGTTTCTCCCCCCATAAAACTTCCATATGGAAATAATGTATAATGTGATAAAGGTTATAACAGTGGGATATACACTCTTTTTTTTTTTTTCTCTTGAGACGGCATCTTGCTCTGTCATCAGGCTGGAGTGCAGTGGCACAATCTCGGCTCACTGTAACCTCTGCCTCCCAGGTTCAAGGATCCCCCTGCTTCAGCCTCCCAAGTAGCTGGGATTACAGGCACGCACCCCCACACCCGGCTAATTTTTTGTGTTTTTTAGTAGAGACGGGGTTTCACCATGTTGGCCAGGGTGGTCTTGATCTCCTGACCTTGTGATCTGCCTGCCTCGGCCTCCCAAAGTGCTGGGATTACAGGTGTGAGCCACCACACCCGGCCCAAGGGATATACACTCTTAAAATGAATGATGGAAGACAGGATGAAGTTACTATCTGAATCAGAAGAGGAGGGGGTAAAGGAAAACTCATATAGAAATATTTTGAAATGGTCTTAAAGGATGAGTAAGAGTTCACCAGATAGACAAGGGGCAGAGGGGCGAGGACTAGGGAGAAGAGCATGTCAAACAGAGGAAACAATACACACCACCAGCCAGAGAGGTAAGAAAGCATAGCATGTACAGAGGTCTAAAGCATTGGATAAGTAAATTGAGGAAGAAAAAACATTTTTACTGGTAACGATTTCACATGCATGAAGCCTTAGTTTCAGTGACATTTACACACACCAGAAAGAAGAACTGGACAAGGTTCCTCTTCAGCACAGAAGTCACTAGAAAAATATAACTAATCACATGAGGGATGGGAGGAGTTTAGAAAGCTACCAGTTTAATTTCCCTTGGCAAATCCTGCAGTGCAGATTTGCTAAGTTCCAGTGTAATGCACTCTGGTGATGTCATTTTAGCCTCGGATGATTGCACATCCCAAACAACCATGTGACTAATACCCTCTGGCTGTCACCAAAAGTCTAAACAATATGAGCAGCAGTGCTCAGCCTCAGCGTGCTAGCAAGCTGCCTTAGTTCCTCACTTTCAAATTACAATCTGACTTGTTACATGTAATAAACAGGAGGTGAGAAAGGAGAAAGAAAAACAAGTGTGGAAACTATTCCATAGTAGTGCTATGACCTAACACATCCATTTGATTTCAGTTGGCAAGGGAAGCAGAAGATCCAGTTTGACACAAGAAATCAAGAATGGTTGCACAACAGGCTGAGTTGGGAACATCCTTTATATATTGTCAGTCTCTGCCATGGCCGGTAATTCACTCAATTGTGAACAAAATATCTTACAGAGTAGCCAAAAAGTTTTAGAAAATAATGTGCACTTTTTTTTTTATTTTTTTCCCCTTTCATACCTAGTCTGGTAGAATAATCTGCACTTTAGAAGGGACGGCTTTTCTTTCTTTCTTTTAGACAAAACTGTGCCCCTTGATTTTGGATCCCATTTATGCTGATACTTTTAAATAAGCAATTTTCTCATGTGCAGTGGGAATTGACACCTATCTAACCAATTTTTATTTTGTTGATGAAAACTGAAAGCGGAAGCTAGAAGAATGGGGGGATTGTCCTCTTTTCTATATATTTTTTTCTTTTTGATGTCCTTTACTTCAAGTTAAGCCTGGTGTTTGCTTTAATCACAGCAGAAAGCATTTTCCATTTCAGGGAAAGGAGAGAACAGGCCATAAACCCTGTCCCCTGTTTGTTCTCCAACTACCCATTTTTGTCCTTTGCCCTGCCATGTCTTTTCCCCCTCGTTTGCTTCTCCTTTCTTTGTTGATTTCTCAGTTCTTTTCTGGCCTCACTCAAAATGGCAGAAATTACGCAACCTAGTACTTTTTTACACAAGCTCCTTTAGTGTCAAGGATTCATCAAGTGCCTGCCATGTGCCGGAACTGTTCTAGATGCCGAGAATACTACCATGAATGAAATAGACAGAAATCCCGGCTGTCATTGGGCTTTGTCTGAGGGCCATTGGGGAAGGCCTCTCAAAGGAAGTGATAGCTGAGCTGGGATCTGAGTCATGAAGAGGAGTGAGCCCAGGGGACAACAGCTGCAAGAGTGTGCCAATGGGAGAGACCAGCCCAGCAAAAAGGAGAAGCATAAGTCTGGTGCATTCCAGGGACAGGAAGGAATGGGGCAGGGTGCCTTTAAGAGAAAAGCATCAGTTTGGATGAGGAGGGATGTAGGGTCGGGAATACAAAATAAGAGTAATTATGGCTGGGCACAATAGCTCACACCTGTAATCCCAGGACTTTGGGAGGCCAAGGTGGGCGGATCACTTGAGGTCGGGAGTTAGAGACCAGCCTGGCCAACATGGCGAAACCCTGTCTCTACCAAAAATACAAAAATTAGCTAGGCCTGGTGGTACGTGCCTGTAATCCCAGCTACTCGGGAGACTGAGGCAGGAGGCAGAGGTTGCAGTAAACCAAGATCGCGCCACTGCACTCCAGCCTGGGCAAAAGAGTGAAAGTGTGTCTCAAAAAAAAGAGAGAGAGAGAGAGAGAGAGAAATTAACTTAGGGTGAAAGGCATTTTGCCCACAACAAAGGAGGGATTCCTCTAGATCCACCAGATGGAGGAAGGTTTGAGAGAACAAAGATGATGGTTGGGTTCCAGGGTCTGAGTAGAAGCAGGAGAAGGAATCCTCTTTTTTTTTTTTTTTGAGACGGAGTCTCGCTCTGTTGCCCAGGCTGGAGTGCAGTGACGTGATCTCGGCTCACTGCAAGCTCCGCCTCCCGGGTTCACGCCATTCTCCTGCCCCAGCCTCCCTAGTAGCTGGGACTACAGGCACCCGCCACCACGCCCGGCTAATTTTTTGTATTTTTAGTAGAGACGGGGTTTCACCGTGTTAGCCAGGACGGTCTCGATCTCCTGACCTCATGATCTGCCCTCCTTGGCCTCCCAAAGTGCTAGGATTACAGGCGTGAGCCACCGCGCTCAGCTGGAATCCTCTTTCTTTAGAGGTGTGAAGAGTGGGAACTGGGGACCAGTAACTCGGAGAGGCAAGGCCAGGTTCATGGAAGACTGGGGGGACAAATGGACTGATGGCAACACACAAAGACGCACACTTATGCAGTCACATGTGCACAAAGCGACAGCAGGCGCCTTTTCAAAGTATGCCGGGTTGAGTGAAATGACCTAAACGTATCTTTTTATACAGTAAGCAGGAGGGCAGAGACCCTCTTTTTATAGACTACATTCTCAACATTTTTAAAAACATTTGCTCCTGGCAGGGCGCGGTAGCTCACGTCTGTAATCCCAGCACTTTGGCATGCTGAGGCGGGAGAATCACTTGAGGTCAGGAGTTCAAAACCAGCCTGGCCAAAATAGCGAAACCCCATCTCTACTTGAAAAATAAAATACAAAAATCATCTGGGCATGGTGGCACAGGCCTGTAGCCCCAGCTACTCGAGAGGCTAAGGCAGGAGAATTGCTTGAACCTGGCAGAGGGAAGCTGCAGTGAGCTGAGATCGCACCACTGCACTCCAGCCTGGGGGACAGAGTAAGACTCTGTCTCAAAGAGAAAAAAGAAAAAATTGTTCCTTTTCAGTAAACATAAAAACCACATACCCTTGTTTAAAATGGTTTGAAATTTCAAACTAAATAGAGTGACTGGAAAAAACATGCGGGCAATTTCAGAGTATGTTTCTTCAAGTTACTTAAGCCTCCTCCACCCAGACTTTGGTCTGGAACCTTCTGATCTACCCACTTTCCAGGTGAATCCCAGCTGAGCTGCTACAGCCTGGTAAGTGTTGCCAGATCTGCATAGCAGCCTCAGGCTGGGCTCATTAACTCTAAAGGAAAAAGAAAAAGGCAACAACTTAGTGGGCTGCCAAAACTGGTTTTTTCGTTTGTTTGTTTTTGTTTTTAGGCAGGATCTCACCATATCGTCCAGGCTGGAGCGCAATGGCAAGATGTCACTCACTGCAACCTCCACCTCCCAGGTTTAAGCCATTCTCCTGCCTCAGCCTCCTGAGAAGCTGGGATTACAGGCGCCCACCACCACACCTGGCTAATTTTTGTATTTTTTAGTAGAGACAGAGTCTCGCCATGTTGGTCATGCTGGTCTCGAACTCCTGACCTCAAGTGATCCACCCACCTTGGCCTTCCAAAGTATTGGGATTATAGGGGTGAGCTACCGCACCCAGCCCAAAGCTGTCTTTAAAAATATATCTGTGGATTTAGCCGAATGAAGGAGATGAATGCTGAGTTATGAAGAGAGAGCTTTGCCTTGCTTCAGAGAGCAAAGCTTGGCTTAGTGACTAAAAGTTTCTGGAAAAAAGTTTCAGAAAAAGATTTCATTAAAAAAAAAAAAAAGTCAGCCGGGCACAGTGGCTCATGCCTATAATCCCAGCATTTTGGGAGGCCAAAGGGGGCAGATTGCCTGAGGTCAGGAGTTTGAGACCAGCCTGGCCAACGTGGTGAAACCCTGTCTCTACTAAAAATACAAAAATTAGCCAGGCGTGAAGGCACCTGTCATCCCAGCTACTCGGGAGGCTGAGGCAGGAGAATATCTAGAACCCAGGAGGCAGAGGTTGCAATGAACTGAGATCATGCCACTCCACTCCAGCCTGGACAATAAGAACAAGACTCCATCAAAAAATAAAAATAAAACCCACCAAAGATGAGAACTTTCTGACTAGTGGAAGTAGTTGACACCCAGCACTGCAGGTGAGCTATGGTATAAAGCAGGTACCTGACCTGGGTCTAAGGTCCCTTCTAATTTTACATTCTATGAATTAATCTATATCTAAAGACCATGAGCACAGTATTGAATGAAGATGTTCACAAACATAGTCATTCTTTCTCTCTCTTCAGAAATAGCTAGATAAAAAGAACTATCAACATCACTAGCCATCAGAGTAATGCAAATCAAAACCATGATGAGATTACCACTTCCCACTCACCAGGATGGCTATAATAAAAAAGACAGATAATAACAAGTGTTGGTGAGGATATGGAGAAACCAGAACCCTCACACATGGCTGGCAGGAATGCAAAATGGTATAGCCAGTTTGAAAAATAATCTAGCAATTCCTCAAAACGTTAAATGTCTCCTAGCACTTTGGGAGGCTGAGGCGAGCAGATCACAAGATCAGGAGTTCAAAACCAGCCTGACCAACATGATGAAACCCCGTCTGTACTAAAAGCATAAAAATTAGCTGGGCGTGGTGGTACACGCCTGTAATCCCAGCTACTCAGGAGGCTGAGGCAGGAGAATCGCTTGAACACGGGAGGTGGAGGTTGCAGTGAGCTGAGATCGCACCATCGCACTCCAGCCTGCATGACAGAGACAGACTACGTCTAAAAAAAAGAAAAAAAAGAAAACTACTCTCACAGAAAAATGAGAGGCAAAATTTCAGCACGACTTCTATTTGTAATTTGCTAATTAAAGTGGGCATTCTACCATGTAAATATCTGTGCCTGAATTCTGACACAGCCTTTTTTTAAAAGAATGATTTATCCTAAACTTCCAGATAGTAGCACTGTGAAATGCAAACAGCAGAGACCTCTGACCTGTATTCCACGTTTAACAAACACACACAAAGCTGATTAAAAGACATGGAGGTGGCCGGGCACAGTGGCTCACGCTTGTAATCCCAACACTTTGGGAGGCCGAGGCATGTGGATCACCTGGGGTCAGGAGTTCATGACCAGCCTGGGCAACATGGTGAAACCCCGTCTCTACTAAAAATACAAACTAGCTGGGCGTGGTGGCGTGTGCCTGTAATCCCAGCTACTCAGGAGGCTGAGCCAAGAGAATCACCTGAGCCCGGGAGGTGGAGGTTGCAGTGAGCTGAAATTGCACCATTGCACTTCAGCCTGGGTAACAAAGCAAGGCTCTTTCTCAGGAGAAAAAAAAAAAAAAAAAAAAAAAAAAAAGACATAGGGGTGCCTCTGGCCCTGGGATCCAGCCCCTCCATGCTGGTCCAGTGCAACTCATGACCCTAAACATTTCTTCTTGAGATAACACCATTCAGGATTCACAGAAACACTTCTGTATCTCTCTTGCCCTATGTCTTCAAAACAAAAAGCTTTGTGGGTTGTGTTGCTGCTGACATTAGGGGAAAAAAATGGCTTTGCAAAGATTTGAGTGGCAGAAACTCTTACGTAAAAAAGGACAAATTAATTAAGTTGTCAAATTCCTCCTTTCAGAGAATATGAATGCAATAGATTCTTGCATTACCAAGTATCATTGGCTAGGAATGCTGAGGATCCCTTTTCCAGCTTCTCTGTTTTCCAACTCCGAGTTCTGGAGGTACTTGGGAATTAAGTGGCATTTGCAACAGTTGCACATTGTGCATTGTGACCATGGACATTTTGCAATAGCAAACAATTCTTATTACGTTTTTTCCCCCAAGACAAGGTCTGGCTCTGTTGTCCAGGCTAGAGTGCAGTGGCACAATCTCAGCTCACTGCAACCTCCACCTCCTAGTCTCAACCATCCTCGCACCTCAGCCTCCCAAATTGCTGGGATTACAGGCGTGCACCACCACGTCCGGCTATTTTTTGTATTTTTTGTAGAGATGGGGTTTCACCATATTGTCCAGGATGGTGGCTCATGCCTGTAATCCAGCACTTGGGAGGCCTAGGTGAGAGGATAGCTTGAGCCAAGGACTTCAAGATCAGCCTGGGCAATACAGTGAGACCTCTTAAAAAAAAAAAAAAGTTCAGCTTTATTTAAATGATTTTTATTTAAAATGTTGGTATTCATATATTTTTATTTTGCCTTCTAATTTTAATAGGCATAAATATTTTAAAACAATAATTTTCTTGAAGATATACAAAGTAATTATGATCTTAAAATTTACAATCACTTTAACTTACATTTTGATGAAAATATGCTCAAATTTTAAACACAATTACCTTCATTTTTAACTTGTTACATTATTACTATCAATTGAACACAAATTACATGAAAATCTTTATTGTAACAACATAGTGGTTTTCCTGAAATGGAGAAAATAAAATAAATGTTGTGGAATACATAAATAAAAACATAAATAATGTCTTTTATTAATCATAGAAAATGTCATTAGCTCCTCTAAACATGTGCAATAATAACTAAAAATTAGCCATCTTTTTTTGCAGTCTTTCATAATACTTTATCAACACCATAGCTTTACAAATGTTTTTAATGGACCAGGCACAGTGGCTCACACCTGTAATCCCAGTGCTTTGGGAGGCTGAGGCAGGAGGATCATGAGGTCAGGAGTTCGAGACCAGCCTGGCCAACATAGTGAAACCCCATGTCTACTAAAAATACAAAAAATTAGCTGGGCGTGGTGTCAGGCGCCCGTAATTCCAGTGACTCAGGAGGCTGAGGCAGGAGAATCGCTTGAACTGGGGAGGCGGAGGTTGCAGTGAGCTGAGATCGCGCCGTTGCACTCCAGCCTGGGCAACGAGTGAAACTCCTGTCTCAAAACAAAACAAAACAAAACAAATGTTTTTAATGATGTTATGGATTTGTCAAGATTGAAGTATAGAGCACATTTTGTTTAAAATGTTTTGGCTTTCGGCCAGGTGCAGTGGCTCACGCCTGTAAATCCAGCACTTTGGGAGGCTGAGGCAGCCAGATCACTTGAGGTCAGGAGTTCCAGACCAGCCTGGCCAACATGGTGAAACCCTGTTGGCTGGGTGAGGTGGCGGGTGCCTGTAATCCCAGCTACTCAGGAGGCTGAGGCAAGAGAATCGCTTGAACCTGGGAGGCGGAGGTTGCAGTGAGCTGAGATCGTGCCACTGCACTCCAGCATAGGTGACAGAGCAAGACTCTGTCCCCCTCCCCCCAAAAAAAGAAAGGCCAGGTGCAGTGGCTCACGCCTGTAAATCCAGCACTTTGGGAGGCCAAGGCAGGCGGATCACAAGGTCAGGAGATTGAGACCATGCTCGCTAACACAGCGAAACCCCATCTCTACTAAAAATACAAAAAACTAGCCAGGCATGGTGGCAGGCGCCTGTAGTCCCAGCTACTCGGGAGGCTGAGGCAGGAGAAGGGCGTGAACCCAGGAGGCGGAGCTTGCAGTGAGCCGAGATCGTGCCACTGCACTGCGGCCTGGGCGAGAGACTCTGTCTCGGAAAAAAAAAAAAAAGAAAAAGAAAAAGAAAACTACATCCCCCTCAGGCAGACATAATACAAAGGAGGCCCTTTCTTCCCTGCAGAATCAGCCCTGCACCAGGGAGCCAGACGCAGCAAGAGAAGCCAGGGCTGGATTTTTATCCCTAATGTCCCTCTTGGTTGGGCACCTGGCACAGGGCACAAGCTGCACTCCCATATAAGTGGCTCTGGCCTAGGCAATGGCATCACACTAGAGTAAGGAAAGTGACCCAACTTGTAATGGCAGGCATATTAGAGCAGAGATTCCAAAATTTCATTTCATATATTCCTAGGTGCCTCTGACCCCCACCCCCAAACCACAGATCAACCACAGGAGGTCCTTTTCACCTGCTGTGTAATAGAGGGTTTTTGTTTATGTTTTTGTTTTAGTGGAAGGGATTTTACAACTTTTAAAATATATGTATATATGTTTAACCCCTGATCTACTCCCGCCACACAGCCACATCATGGACCCTGGAGGCAATGGAATAGGAAGGACAGCAGTGGGGGCTGGGAGGGCAGGGGGAAGGAGACTTTTCAGGGACATCCAAAGCCACTGACTTTTGTCCCGTACTCCAGTGGGTGTGCTCCTCTCCTTGACCCCACCGGGCACCATACTTTATAGTTACTTAGAATTTTTGAAGACCTTGGCTGGGGGGTCTCTCTGATAAATCCAAATTACTATGCTTTTGTTAAAACTTTTACATGCCAAAGCAGGCAAACAACAGATATTTTTTAACATCTACATTTGAAAACCATTCTGGGTATACTTCACTGTAATATACAGCCAGCAAAGCAACCATAACATTTCCTCATTTTCCTGAGTAAATTTAGAAGCAAACATTTTCAGAATATGAAATTAAATAAAAGGTCATAGGACAATGAATAATATGCTGTGTGTGTGGTTAATTATACTTGTTCTAAAAAAAAGTCATCCTAGCCTCTCTATAAAAATTGTGTGTGTAGCTATTTCACTTTGAAATGTCATAGGGTTACTCTGTTTCAAAAAGAAAATGGAAAAGCATAAAGATATTTATTTAACCCTGAAAGAAAATATTTCTTAAGAGAATGTAATGTTTAATTCCATATTGTTTCCCTTTGTCCTGTGGCTGGTTTATAAATATGGAAGGCACAATTCTTTGTGCTATTGAAATTAAGGGTTCACGGTATTTTTTGTCTTTTCAGGGAAAAGAATCAAACAATTTAGATACAGAAAAGATATGATTCTTTCAACAGCTACTAAAATCTGACAAGCCATTTTAATCATAAGGTAGATAGCATTATAATTTAATCTTTTCCGTGATGAGATAATCTGTACTTTTAACTTCAAACAAGATGCTTAATATTTAATACTTCAGATTTCAAAAGTGAAACATGTCTGAAATACTTGAATGAAAGTCACTTGTCTACCTATTTTTTATTTCTGCTGTAATTAAAGCAGGGAACTTAATTGCAAGTGAACTCATTCTAATACTCCAATAAGACAAAATAAGCAAGCCATGTTATTAATAGCGATGACAGAAGTGATCGCTCTGGGCAGTCTGGCAAATACTTACCTGTGACTGGGAGGTTCACCTAAAAAAAGCCACACTGAGGTCACTTTTGCTTTTTGGGGTAATTTCGCCCTACCATGCTCTGAGAGATCAGAGAAGGATTTTTCCTCTAAACTTTTTCTCTTATTGTCCTAGGATTTACACTCTTGCTTCTTCCAACTGGTGTATTAAAAATTACTAGACACCTACTAAGCGCCAGACACTTTCCTAGCTGTTAGGAATAGAAAGAGAAAGAATATGGTCTGCAGTCCAGGAGCTCAGGCTAGAGCATTCTATGCTATGTGCTATGCTAGAGGCACGCACAAGGCTCCTGGTCCAGCCCAGCCCTCAGATTCTGCGTCCAGAGCAGATATTCAGTTTCTTCACCTGGAAAATTTCTCTAGGGTCGACCTAAATTCTAAAATGTATATGATTCTAGTTAGCGGCTCACATTATTTCAAATAAGGTGTTTAATAGCTAAACTGTATGCAGCTATAGTTACTTTTTTTGTTTTGTTTTTTGTTTGTTTGTTTTTTGGGACAGGCTCTCACCCTGTTGCCCAGGCTGGAGTGCAGGGGCATGATCTCATCTCACTGCAGCCTCCACCTCCCGGGTTCAAGAGATTCTCATACCTCAGCCTCAGGCACGCACAACCACCCCCAGCTAATTTTTGTATTTTTAGTAGAGATGGGTTTTCACCATGTTGCCCAGGCTGGTCTCAAACTCCTGAGCCCAAACGAACTGCCTGCCTCTGCCTCCCAAAGTGCAGGATTACAGGTGTGAGCCACCGCACCTGGCCAGCCATAGTACTTCTATAATGTTGATGCCAGAGTCTCTTCTTGGCTCCTCTGAGTGTTTTATGTTATTAACCTACTTAAAATCTCACATTTACATTTTATTTGTTGGGGGGAGGTGTTGTTGCGGGTAGTTTGAGAGTGTGTTACCCCTTCAATCCACCTTCCTTTGATGGAGAATGATTTTATCTTATTCAAGTTACCCATTTGCCACAGATTCATAGTCTAAAAAAATTTACTTGTCTTTGATCCTTTTGAAATGAACAAAATGAGTAGGAGACACACTCCTATTTTAGAAAAGAGAGGACTTAAAGTGGTTCTATCTTGCGATTTATTGGGCGGGTTCTTGCCAGTGAATGAAGCTGATCCCGGCGACAGCTTGGTTTGAATCATCCAAGCTCATGGGGTTTGCTGATTTGGGAATCACTCTGTTCTCTATAGCTCTTCTGCTGGCCACTTCTGAATAAGTAGAACCATTCTCCAGCTTGAGTGTTATTTTTTTGTTTTGTTTTGTTTGAAGAGGTTTCAAGAAGACCAAGGCAAAATCAGATGAATTGTAGATCAGTGAATTTCCACTGGGAATTAACAGGGATAAAATCTTTTTCAAACTACACAGAGCTCCCCACCCCACCCCTGTCCCCATCCCTATCCATAGCAGCATTCAAGAATCACTGCAATAAAGAGTGAAAATAGGCCGGGCGCGATGGCTTACGTCTGTAATCCTAGCACTTTGGGAGGCCGAGGTGGGCGGATTGCCTGAGCTCGGGTGTTCGAGACCAGCTAGGGCAACATGGTGAAACCCTGTCTCTACTAAAATACCATTAAAAAAAAAAAAAATTAGCCAGGCATGGCAGCGTGCGCCTGTACTCCCAGCTACTTGGGAGGCTGAGACAGAAGAATGGCGTGAACCCGGGAGGCGGAGCTTGCAGTGAGCAGAGATTGTGCCACTCTACTCCAGCCTGGCGACAGAGCAAGACTCCATCTCAAAAAAAAAAAATTAGTGAGTGAAAATAGGAGTCAGAACCTGGAGCCCAGGGTTCCATCGATGGTTCTGTCACCACCTCTCCGGCTGCTCTGTGATCCTGGTTTACATTCTGGTCATACATGAATCTGCTCATCTGCATATTTTGAGTTAAAGTAAATAAAAATTTTAAGTGATTTAAATTCCAAAGAATAAAATATGTAATGAAAAAGCTGTAATAGGAATGATATATTTAGACTGCCTACTAAACTTACCCAAAAAAACAAACAGCAAAGTTGGTTTAATTCCTTTCTTTCACTAAGTCTTGTTCCCCGCTCAAGGAAATAATTTATTTAACTATAGCTGGGTTCCAGAAGATCCAGTTTCCAGCGATCCCCATTCATTGAGGTGCAATTTGGATATGTTCTCCAAACTCCTAGGGCAGCTCCCTTTACCTGGATGCATGGTAGAGAGCTGATAGGGCCCCACAGAGCCAGGCGTTTACAAGTCCACAGAAGGGTAGGTGTGTAGCTGAGAGTCCCTTAGGAAATATCTCAAAGATCTTTGGGATTCCTGACCAAAAGCATTTTCTCCTTAGCTTTATCTAGGAAGTCTTATCTTTAGTTGAGACTTTATTCAGACAATGCTTGTTCTCCAAAGTGTTCTCAAAGACAGCAGCTCTTGTCCGGCCCCTCTTGGGGTCACATGTCTCCTTGGCTAGCCACCCCGCACCATGCCAGTACAAAACACTCTCCTGTGACCCACCCAGTTTTCATATTTGATTATCTGGCCTCACAGACTGGCAAAGTTAGTGGTCACACACCTGGAGTGGAATAAGGCAAATTATGAAGGTACTGTTTATGAATAAACTAATTAAAGTAGCTTGTCTGTGGTCTCCCCATAAATGAGTCGCCAGCTCAGGACTAGAGCAGGGGTCAGTGAATTGCATCCCCTTGGGCCAAATGTGGCCAGGAGCCTGTTTTTGTACCAGGAGCAAAAAATGGTTTTCATATTTTCAAAGGGTTGTATAAAAAATAAATAATAGACTGGGCGCAGTGGCTTATGCCTATAATCCCAGCACTTTGGGAGGCCAAGGTGGACAGATTACTTGAGGCCAGGACTTCCAGACCAGTGACTAAGATGGCAAAAACCCGTCTCTACTAAAAATACAAAAATTAGCCAGGCGTGGTGGTGCATGCCTGTAGTCCCAGCTTCTATGGAGGCTGAGGCAGGAGAATCGCTTAAACCTGGGAGGCAGAGGTTGCAGTGAGATGAGATCATGCCATTGCACTCCAGTCTGGGTGACAGAGCAAGAATTTGTCTCAAAATAATAATAATAATAATAATAATAATAATAATAATAATAATAAAAAGGCTGGGCGCAGTGGCTCACGCCTGTAATCCCAACACTTTTGGAGGCAGAGGTGGGTGGATAACTTGAGGTCAAGAGTTACAGATGAGCCTGGCCAACATGGTGAAGCCCCATCTCTACTACAAACACAAAAAATTAGCTGGGCGTGGTGGCGCATGTCTGTAATCCCAGCTACTCAGAGGCCGAGGCAGGAGGATCCCTTGAACCTGGGAGATGGAAGTTGCAGTGAGCAGAGATCGCACCACTGCACTCCAGCCTGGGTGACAGAGTGAGATTCTGTCTCGAAAAACAACAACAACAAGAAGAACAACAAGAACAACAACAAGAAGAAGATAACAAATATGTAATAGAGGCTGTATGTGGTCCACAAGCCTAATAGATTTGTTTTCTGGCCCTTCACAGAAAAAGTTTGCTGACCCATGGACTAGAGTATCCACATCTTATCCACTGGGGTCTTTTGGGTTCTTGAAGGTGAGTCCAGCTAGTATCACACTCCCGGCCTCATTCAATGTCATGTGAGTCATACAATTGGTGAACTTGAAAGGGAACTGAGTTTAGATCAGTCCTTAGTGGCAGTGTCTTCTCAGAGCCAACCTGGATTTGTGGTATAAATTCTGGTCCACTGTCTGCCACTTAGTATGGACCCAACACAAGTCACAAGTCACTCTGCTCTGGAACTTTATCTCACAGGTAAACTCATACTAACCCAAGCTCACAGAGACTGCTGTATAGCCAGAATTCAAATTCATTCCATTTTAACCATAAATGCAACCAGCTAACAGGTGAGCCTTCACATCAGCAGACCAGAGTCTTTGCTTCCTATAATCAGGCTTCAGCACACAGGGAGCCATGTGGAGCATGAAATCTGAGTAAGGAGAGGTGGGTAGATGACTTATCCAAAGATACATTTGCCACAGAGACCTGAGAGCTCAAATCCTTAGGCCAAGGCCCCTTCTCTCTTGAACAGTAGTTGGGAGTGTGCTACCCACTCCTTGCTTCTTAGGTTGAGGTTTTCCAGGCTACAGGCTGACAGCTCTCTGCCTACATCCTCTGTTCATCCAGACTTTCTCCATACAACGGATTAAATTAACAAACACATTCTGGTGATTGCCTTCCTGGATTACCCCCAGGTCACTGAAGTTAGGGGTATTCCCAAAGTCTTCAGGTACACACTGGTTATCTCTCAGTTTACTCCCTCATTGGGTTTAGCCTAATCTCTGTGTGATTCTATGCATGTTCACATGCGTGCACATGTGTGCATGTGTGCACGTGTGTGTGTGTGTGTGTGTGTGTGTGTGTATGACTGGTTTAACTCTCAGAAGGCAAATTTATTTCCTATTTTCAGGTTTTTTGGAAGATATTTTATTATTACTCCCTTTGCTGCCAACAAGGTATTTTTGAGCTATTTTGAAAGAAAATCTGTAGTGCAACTGTTTTTTATTATATTTTGAGACTTAGCTACTTGAATTCAAACACATAAGCAGTTTTTCCTGATTTTCTATTATAATAACTTATGAGACTGAGCTCATGATGACAAATATCTAGTAAAGCCTCTCAGGATAACTCATCTGTTTTCATAACCACTGTTAAATAGTCTTATGTAATCAACTCAAAACATCTTTAAGATCTCTTGTTTCCAAAGGAGGTGGATAAAAATATTTTGCTGTTAAGCAAAATAATAACCAGTTGGATGCCTCCAACAATCAGCCTCAGATCAGAAAAATCCTTCCCAATTGTCTTCCTTTCTTTCCTTTCTTCCCACCTTCCTTCCTTCTTTCCTCTCTCCCTCCCTCCCTTCCTTCCTCCCTCCTCCCCAAACATGTATAGAGCATCTCCCCTGTGTTAGGGATAGTTTTTGGCACTGTAGATATAATAATGAAAATACAGTGTAATAAAAGAGTCCTGCCCTATCAGGGCTTACATTCTAGTTGACAGGAGATAGATTATTTAAAAAAAATAAATAAATAAGAAAAATATTAGCAATGGGTAAATGCTATGCAAAGAATAAAATTGAATGGTGTAATACAGTGATTACTTTGGATGGGATCATCAGTGAAGGCCTTTCTTCAGGATAACACTTTAGCTGAGACTTAGGGACAAGAAGGAGCCAATCATGGGAATCTAAGGGTAAAGAACATTACAGCTAGAGCAAGACCCCAGACAAAGACCCAAAAGGAACAACAGGCCTGGGGAGTGCTGGGAATACAAAGAAAGCTAATGCAGCCAGAGTATGGCTGATGGGCAAGGAGGAGAGTAGCAGTAATAATAAGTTTTCCATCAAGAGCACAGAAGAAACTGGGCACAGTGGCTCAAACCTGTAATTCCAGCACTTTGGGAGGCTGAGGTGGAAGGATCGCTGGAGGCCAGGGGTTTGAGACCAGCCTGGGCAATACAGGGAGACCTCGGTATCTACAAAAAAAATTTAAAAATTAGCTGGCACGCACCTGTGGTCCCAGCTACTTAGGAGACAAGAGGATCACTAGAGCCCAGGCAGTCGAGGCTGCAGTGAACTGTGATCATGCCACTGCACTCTAATCTGGGCAATGGAGCAAGACTCCTATCTCAAAAAAAAAAAAAAAAAAAAAAAGCACAGGATGTGGAGTGTATCAGTGGCAAATACCTTTGACAATTTCCTCATTTACAGAGACCGTGGAAATTGTCATTGCTTTACCCTGCCTCATTTTTTTTTTTTTTTGCCCTTGCAAAAAAATATATAATGAGGAAAGTTAGGTGTGTAATATGGATTGGTTTAGTCTCCACAGCTTTGTTTCTGGCAAAGTTCATTTGTGTGTCTTTTCCAGATTTTCTAGGTTATACCTCAAACCAAATCAGATTAGTAGCTTTTTTTTTTTTTTTTTTTTTTTTTTTTTTTTTTTCCTGGCAGGGTCTTACTCTGTCGCCCAGGATGGAGTGTAATGGTGTGATCTCAGCTCACTGCAAACTCTGCCTTCTGGGTTCAAGTGATTCTCCTGCCTTAGCCACCCAAGTAGCATGGATTGCAGGCATGTGCCACCACACCCAGCTAACTTTTGTATTTTTAGTAGAGATGGGGTTTCGCCATGTTGGCCAGGCTAGTTTTGAACTCCTGGCCTCATGTTACCTCCCTGCCTCGGCCTCCCAAAGTGCTGGGATTACAGGTGTGAGCCACTACGCTCAGCCACAAGTGTCATTTGAAAAGAGCAAAAGGGCAAAGATATTAAAAACGAATCACCATGCCCCTCAATATCTCAGAGGTCACAGGTGTTTGAAAGTCACAGGTAGAGGAGGAGGACCCAGGTGAGTGATGTTTTATGAATTGTTATTAAACTTGATAAACTTACCCTTTTGAAGGCATGGAGGTGTCAGGATTCTGGGTCTCAAAATGTGCCTCCCAGCTTAGTGATGTGGGTATACTAAGGAAAGCATAAATGAGGCCTCAAAATGTGTGCTGGGCCCAAAGATTGCAAATTCATAAAACTCATTGTTCTCCATTTATTTAAAAGAGAGCTGGCTCTGAGGAATTGATTTATATTAATCAGAGTTATAATAGACTGATTAATAAAATACAATGCCATTTATTCATTACCTGTGAATGTTGTAACTACCAGGCTGAAATTCATGTCTGTTGGTCAGCACATGCTCTTCCTGGTAGGAAAAATCTATTTAAGAAACCATATTAAAATCAGAAGGTTAAATGTTATATATGGAAGCTGAACAAATCAAGTTGGACGTTTCGAAAGGCTATTTTCAGCCGGGCGCAGTGGCTCATGCCTGTAATCCCAGCACTTTGGGAGGCTGAGGTGGGTGGATCATCTGAGGTCAGGAGTTCGAGACCAGCCTGGTCAACATAGTGAAACCCCGTCTCTACTAAAAATACAAAAAATTAGCTGGGCATGGTGGCGGGTGCCTGTAATCCCAGCTACTAGGGAGGCTGAGGCAGGAGAATCATTTGAACTTGGGAGGCAGAGGTTGCAGTGAGCCGAGATCACACCATTGTACTCCAGCGTGGGCAACAAGAGTGAAACTCTGTCTCAAAAAAAAGAAAAAGAAAAAAAAAAGAAAGGCTATTTTCATTAAGCATTGGAAGCCTGATACAGCCTTTTTTCACTACAAGGACATACAGTACCAGCTAGGCCGATGACCTGCTATGTGGCTGGACAGGGAAGGCCAATCAATGCTGGAGAAACACTGGAAAATTTCAACTCCCAGCCTCTCCTTTTCCTAGGTCTAGGCCACTATTTCCCAAAGAGTGGTCTAATGGCCTCCTACAGTTGATTTGCCTTGGGGATTTATTTTAATTTTTGTTTATTGTTTTTTCTTAAAGAATGGGTCTTATCACCCAGACTGGAGTGCAGTGGTACAATCATAGCTCACTGCCACCTCAAACTCGTGGGCTCAAGCAATCCTCCCACTTCAGCCTCCCAAGGAACTGGGACTACAGGTACGTGCCACTGCATCCGGCTAATTTTTAAACTTTTTGTAGACACAAGGTCTCACCATTTTGCCCAGGCTGGTCTCAAATTCCTGGCCTCAAGTGATCCTCCTACCTGAGCCTCCCAAAGTTCTGGGATTATAGGTGTGAGCCACCACACCTGATCCCAGGGATTTATTTTTATTTTTTATTTTTGGAGACAGGATCTCACTCTGTCTCCCAGGCTGGAGTGCAATAGCATGATCACAGCTCACTGCAGCCTCAGTCTCCCAGGCTCAAGTGACCCTCCTGCCTCAGCCTCCTGAGTAGCTGAGACTACAGGCATGTGCCACCATGCTCAGCTAATTTTTTAACTTTTTGTAGAGACAGAGTTTCCCTATGTTGACCAGGCTGCCAGGGATTTATTAAAAATGCATGCATTTTTCTTTTTCTTTTTTTTTTTTTTTGAGACAGAGTCTCGCTGTGTCACCAGGCTGGAGTGCAGTGGCACGATCTTGGGTCACTGCAACCTCCAACTCCCTGGTTCAAGGGATTCTCCTGCCTCAGCCTCCTGAGTAGCTGGGACTACAGGCATGTGCCACCACACCCAGCTAATTTTTGTATTTTTGTAGAGATGGGGTTTCACCGTGTTGGTCAGGATGGTCTCAATCTCCTGACCTCGTGATCTGCCTGCTTTGGCCTCCCAAAGTGCTGGGATTACAGGCGTAAGCCACCGTGCCCAGCCAAAATGCACTTTTCTAGACCCCATCTCACACTTCTAATCAGAAGGTCTGGTCTTGAGCTAAGATATGAATTTTAACTAGCTTTCTGGAGAAGTGTAATGCACAATAGTGTTTTGAAAACCACTGCTAGCTGGTAAGCTGTATAACCATAAGCAAGTTAGCGTTACTGAACTTCTCTACGTCTCAGTTTCTTTGTCCACAAAATAAGGATAATAGTAGGTTCTATCTTCCAGGGTTATTGGTGGGATCAGATGAGTCAAGACATATAAAGCTCTTAGAACAGTGTCTAGCACCTAGTAAGCCCTCAATGATGGCTATTAGTATTTTCACCATTAGCATCATCTTTTTTTTTTTTTTTTTATGAAGTCTCGTTCTGTTGCCCAAGCTGGAGTGCAGTGGCGCCATCTCAGCTCACTGCAATCTCTGCCTTCCCGGTTCAGCGATTCTCCTGCCTCAGCCTCCTAAGTAGCTGGAACTAGAGGCGCATGCCACCATGCCTGGCTAATTTTTGTATTTTTAGTAGAGACGGGGATTCATCATGTTGGCCAGGCTGGTCTCGAACTCCTGGCCTCAGGTGATTCCCCTGCCTTGGCTTCCCAAAGTGCTGGGATTACGGGCGTGAGCCACCATGCCCGGCCCATCATTTTCATTTTCATTATTCAGCCCACCACATTTTTGTTTGCTCACAGACTTGATTTTTTTTTAATCAAGCAAAACCTAATGCATTGATTACTACATAAAGGGAGACTACACCCTTGACAGAGTCTTAGTGCCATCTCCCAGATCGGTTTTTATTGACAATATTTCAGGGTTTCTCCCTCTCAAGAATGGAAAAGATAGTATCCTAAGCCATCTCCACATTATGAAGCAGGATGGATTTATTTTAGAAAGGTTTCCAGTACAGACATTGTGATTCATACTTGTAATCCCAGTGCTTTGGAAGGCTGAGGCAGGAGGACCACTTAAGGCCAGGGGTTTGAGACCAGCCTGGGCAACACAGCAAGACCTCATCTGTCCAAAATATTTTTAAAAGTCATGTGCCTATAGTCCTAACTACTTGGGAGGCTGAGGTGAGAGGATCGCCTGAGCCCAGGAATTCAAGCCTGGAGTGAGCTATGATCACACCACTGTACTCCAGCCTGGGCAACAAAGCGAGACCCTGTCTCTAAAGAAAAAAAAAAGTTTCTAATGGTATTCATAGTGTTTGGCTTAAGGCTTACATTTGATCAGAGTTTGGCACATTTTTTCCCTATCTTGAAAGTTGTTTTGCATCTTAGTTGTGGGCTAAAAGTTCTCTATTTGCTGACAATAGCAACATACCAACTTGTTTAGTGTCATTCCTCCAAATGCCACTTGTTATAAATCACCTCATATTTATACTTTCCTTTTAAAAATGAACAAAATGGCTGGGCACAGTGGTTTACGCCTATAATCCCAGTACTTTGGGAGGCCAAGGTGGGCGAATCTCCTGAGGTCAGGAGTTCGAGACTAGCCTGGGCAACATGGCGAAACCCCATCTCTACTAAAAATACAAAAAAATTAGCCAGGCATGGTGGCGCATGCCTGTAATCTTGGCTACTCGGGAAGCTGAGGTGGGAGAATCACTTGAACCTGGGAGGCAGAGGTTGTAGTAAGCCGAGATTGCACTACTGCACTCCAGCGTGGGCCACAGAGCAAGACTCCATCTCAAAAAAAATAAAAAATAAAAAATTTTAAAATTTTAAAAAATTAAAGTGAATAAAATGTAGAAATAGAGTCCTCTAAATTGTCTGGGTGGCAGTGATTCTAACTAAATGAGGGAGGATCTTGGAGTTGCCATGCCAGTATATTTGGAAGTAGAGTACCAAAAAACAACTTCAAAATTTGCTTTGTAACTTGCCAGAGTTTGTAAGTAGAACTTAGAACACCACCATTTCTGTCAACTGTCTCTTCATCTGAATACTTCAAAGTGGGTTATGAACATTAATTAAGCCTCTAAGCATCCCTGTGATGTGGATAATTATACTAGCCATCCCTGCCTTTTGGATGACCACAGGAAAGGAGGAGGAGGTTACCTGAAGTGAATTCCCCAGGTTAAGCTGATTTGGCAGCAAAACCACCCAGGGAACTTTTTATGGTTGCAATCTAAATAATTCTGCACCTGCTTTCCCCAAACATAAATATAACTTTTTTTTTTTTTTTTTTTTTTACAGTCTTGCTCTGTTGCCCAGGCTGGAGTACAGTGGCAGGATCTATGCTCACTGCAACCTACGCCTCCCCGGTCCAACAGATTCTCCTGCCTCAGCCTCCTGAGTAGCTGGAATTACAAGCGTGTGCCACCACAGCTGGCTAATTTTTGTATTTTTAGTAGAGACAGTGTTTCGCCATGTTGGCCAGGGTGGTCTTGAACTCCTGACCTCAAACAATCCACCCGTCTCGGCCTCCCAAAGTGCTGAGATTACAGGCATGAACCACCGCACCCAGCCTCCCCAAACATAAACATAACATTTTTACATGAGTTGTTGAAAAAGGAATCCAAATTTACCAAATCAGTAATTAAAAGTCTAACCTGGTGAAGAGAAAACGCAGGTATACCCTGGGATTAGTCAGAGTTTAGCTGCTCAGAGTTCCTTTCTGTCCAGTCTGCTTCCCAGTGGACTTTTGTCCTTCCCTCTTATTTCCATTTCCCAATAAACTGAGAGCCCACAGTGCTGGCCTGTAGTGTGGGAAACAGCCTGAGTTACTGATGCCAGGCATGGCCTAAACAGTCTCCTGTGGGAGAGCTATGCCTACCGGATCCAAAGTGTCTACTTGGCTCCACCCCATTTCACTCGTGTGCCAGTTTCTGCTAAACATAGCCCAGCTCCCAGCTGGCAAGGCTCTGAACTATTTTTAGCTGGGTCCAGGGCTCAGGCCAAGAGATCTAGATAGGTAGCTGAGATTCAGCTCTAGTGTTTTAAAAATAATAACCTTTATTGTTTTTCTTCTCATTATAATTTATGTTTCAGTTTAGACTTTTGGAAATATAGCCGAGAAAAAGGTGTGACCATTTAGAAAACAGCAAAAAGAAGAAAATTAAAATTTTCTGTAATACTCTTTATCAAAGTATAATATATACAGCAATGTGCACCAATCTTAAATATACATTTTGGTACACTTTTATGTAATTATATTCTTGTTTAACTGCCACTTTGATCAATATGAAGAAGACTCCACATAGTGGGACACCATCTCTACAAAAAATTTAAAAATTAGCCGGGCATGGTGGCACACACCTATGGTCCCAGCTACTTAGGAGGCTGAGATGGGAAGATCACTTGAGTCCGGGAGGTGGAGGTTGCACTGAGCCATGTTCACGCCACTTCCCTTCAGCCTGGGTGACAGAGCAAGATCATATCTTAAAACAAAACAAACAAACAAAAAGACAAAAAGAAAAACAGGACATTCCAGCACTCCAAAAAGTTCTCATTCGTCCCTTCCCAGCCAATATCCCTATGACCCAGAGATAAACCCTATTCTGACTTATATCACTTTTGATTAGTTTTACCTATTTTGAATTTCATAAAAATGAAATCATATGTACTTTTTTTTGAAAAAGGGTCTCACTCTATTGTCCAGGCTGGAATGCAGTGGCATGATCACAGCTCACTGCAGCTTCAACCTCCCTGGTTTGGGTAGCTGAGACCATAGGTACATGCCAACATGCCTGGCTAAATTTTTTTATTTTACTTTTGGTATAGATGGGGTCTCACAATGTTGTCCAGGCTGGTCTTGAACTCCTGGGCTTAAGCAAACCTCCCACCTTGGCCTCCCAAAGTACAGGATTACAGATGCAAGCCACCGTTCCCAGCCCATATATACTTTTTAAGTCTGTCTTTGTTCACTCATAATGTCTGTGGGGTTTATCCATGTTGTTACATGTAGTAGTAGATGGTTTTTTTGTCTGTTTTTACTGTGTAAAATTCTACCACATGAATACACTATAATTTATTAGTTCCCCACTGAGACTTATTTGGCTTATTTCCAAAGTTTGGTTATTAAAAATAAAACTGTCATGAACATTTTGTCCACATATTTTAATGGTCATATGCATTCATTTTTGGGGGTATATACCTAGGAGTGGAAGTGCTAAACCACAGAGAAAGCTTCGATCTAGCTTTCATAGATGTGCCAGTTTTCCAAAGTGGTTGCACCATTTTACAGTCCCACCAGCAATGTGTAGAAGTTCTAATTGCTCTATATCCTCATCAACACTTGATATCATCAGTCTTTTTAATTTTAGCCATTGTGGAGAGTGTGGGTTGGTATCTCATTGTGATTTGCATTTGCATTTGCCTGGTGACTAATGATGTCTTAAGTACCTTTTTCACATACTTACTAGATATTTGGACATCCTCTTCTGTGAAATGCTTGTTCAAGTGTTTTGCCCATTTTATAATTGGGTTGTCTGTCTTTTCCTTATTGGTTTATAGAATTTAAATTCTTCATTGGAGAGAGAAAGAGAGAGGTGGATTGCAAATACTTTCTCTCAGTCTGTGACTTGCCCTTTCGAAAAAGTTCTTATTTTTAATGAATCCAATTATCAATCTTTCCTTTTATGGTTAGTTTTTTTGTTTGTTTGTTTTTGGTTTTTGTACCTTGTTTAAGAAATCTGGCTGGGTGTCATGGCTCACGCCTGTAATCCTAGCACTTTGGGAGGCCGAGGCAGGCAGATCATTTGAGGTCAGGAGTTCAAAACCAGCCTGGCCAACATGGTGAAACCCCGTCTCTACTAAAAATACAAAAATTAGCTGGGTGTGGTGGCAGGCACCTGTAATCCCAACTGCCCAGGAGGCTGAGGCAGGAGAATCGCTTGAACCTGGGAGGCGGAGGTTGCAGTGAGCCGAGATCACACTACTGCACTCCATCCTGGGCAATAGAGACTCCATCTCAAAAAAAAAAAAGAAAAAAGAAATCTTTGACTGCCATAAAGTCATGAAGATATTCTTCCATGTATTCTTCAGAAGCTTTATTGTTTTGCCATTTAGGTCTATGATCCATCTCAAGTTAATTTTTCACATATGGTATGAAAAAAGGCCAAAGCTCATTATTTTTTTATAAGACTATCCAATTACTCCAGAATCATTTATTGAAAAGACCATCTTTTCCCCACTATATATATGTGAGTCTATTTCTGAACTCTATACTCTCTTCTATTGATTTGTCTGTTCTCGTACTAATATCACACTGTCTTAATTACTGTAATTTCATATTAAATTTTAAAATCTGATAGTATAATCCACCAACTTTGTTCTTTCTCTTCAAGATGGTCTTGTCTATTTTAGATCTTTTGCGGTTCTATATACATTTAAGAGTCAACTTGTCAATTTGGGGGTTTTGGGGGGGTTGTTTTGTTTTTGTTCTTTGTTGTTTTTTTTTTTTTTTGAGATGGAGTCTCACTCTGCTGCCCAGGCTGGAGTGCAGTGGCGTGACTTTGGCTCACTGTAACCTCCACCTTCTAGATTCAAACGATTCTCCTGCCTCAGCCTCCCCAGTAGCTGGGATTATAGGTGCCTGCCACCATGCCCAGCTAATTTTTGTATTTTTAGTAGAGATGAGGTTTCACCATGTTGGCCCAGCTGGTCTCGAACTCCTGACCTCAGGTGATCTACCCACCTCAGCCTCCCGAAGTGCTGGGATTACAGGCATGAGCCGCCACGCCTGGTCTGGAGCCTTCTCCATTTTAGCGGGAAAGAATAGACCATATTCATTTATTCCATGAAGTTTGGATTGTGAAAATTGAAGGAGAATCTCAAACTTGAAAAACTAACAAGGAAAGATATCTTGGAATCATCTTGGACTCATCATTCTCCTTTGTCCCCCTGTGAATCCTGGGCCACCAACTTCTGGCAATCCCAGCTCAAAGGCAACTCTAGATGCTTCCTCTTCTTCATTCCCATCACTGTGGAGTAGCCTGGGTCAGCCCATTCCTGCCAAACCTGGTCTGATACCAGGCGAAGAATATACTGTTCTTCGCTCATTCTGCTGTTTCTCTGATGAAACATTTTGAGAAGGGATTCTTTAGGATTTTCTAAGGCAATGGCTTCCTAAGCAGTCGTGCTGCTTCCACTCATTTCCATCACCTTCTGCTGTCAACCTTCTTGTGGCTCCCAACACACTCCAAATGTAATCCAGTGTCCTTGACACAGCTCGCTCCATCTGGCCCTTCTCTACTTCTGACCTCTTCTTCTATTCCTCCAACCTTTCTACCTAATTGCTGTTCTTCATCTATGCCAAGCATGTTTCCAGCTGGGGACCTTTACAAGGTGGTTATTTTTCCTGGAAATAATCACCCCTTCCTGAACCCACTCTCGGATATTTACATGGCCCACATTCTCATTTTTTTGCAGATTGCTGCTTATTTATTTACTTATTTATTTATTTTCAGATGGAGTCTTGCTCTGTTGCCCAGGCTGGAGTGCCATGGCTTGATCTGGCTCACTGCAACCTCCACTTCCCAGGTTCCAGCGATTCTCCTGCCTCCGCCTACCGAGTAGCTGGGACTAAAGGTGCCCACCACCTTACCCCACCAATTTTTGTATTTTTAGTAGAGACAGGGTTTCACCATGTTGGCCAGGCTGGTCTTGAACTCCTGACCTCAAGTGATCCACCTGCCTTGCCTCCCAAAGTGCTGGGATTACAGGTGTGAGCCACTGTGCCCAGCCAGATTGCTGCTCATGTGTCACTTCCTCAGAGAGATCTTCCATGACAACCCTGTTTAAAGCAGCATTCTTCTCCATCCCAACCTCTTACCCTGCTTCATTTTTCTTCCTAGCCTTCAGCACTACACACACACACACACACACACACACACACACACACACACACACACTCTCTCCTAGAGACTCTCCTAGAGAACCAATGATTCTGGTTTACCCAGGGGGTTCCTGGGCAGAATTTGAGTGCTAAAAGCAGGAATGTCCCAGGCAAACTGGAATGGATTGGTCACTTCTCCCCTCCTATCAGAATATAAGTTTTATGAGGGAAAGAGCTTTATTTCATTCTCCACTTTCTCCCCAGCACATGACACAGTGCCTGGCACAGAGTAGGTGCTCATAAATATTTATTGAACAAATGAATGCATGAATAATTTCTTATTTCAAACAACATCTGGATTAAACTCTCTGACCTAGCATTCCAATTTCTTCTTGACTTCCCCATCTTAATACCCCACCCTATTTCCTACCACTTCCTCTGATGCACCCTCTGCTCCAGGGACCCCAGTCTCCTCTCTTTCACAATCCCTTCACATGAAGAGCCCTCCCCTATCTCTTCTAGCTGAATCAGTCTCTTTCACATCTTTTATTTTTTGAAATCTTTATCAGTGAAAAGGCCTAAGGGATGAATGGGTCCCTATCAGAATTCCCTTGAATATTGTTACAAAATATATCCTCCTCCACTCCCAATGCTGAGAAATAGTTATGATGTTCTTGGGGAAGGAGGAGAAATTAAACACTGATATTTTGAAAAAGTTCCCTAGGTGATTCTGACAACAAACATGCAGCTACTTCAATCAAAAATCACTTATCTAGTCCATCAATGGATGAATGGAAAAAGAAAATGTGGTATATATTCTGCAAAGGAATACTATTCAGCCATAAAAAAGAATGAAATATGGTCATTTGCAGAAACATGGATGAAACTATAGGTCATTATGTTAAGTGAACTAAGTCAGAAGACAGAAAAGACAAATATTGAATGTTCTCACTCATACGTGGGAGCTAAAAAAGTTGATCTCAGGGAGGCAGAGAGTAGAATTATGGTAGCTAGAGGCTAGAAAGGGTTGGGGGGATGGTGTTGAAGAGAAGTTGGTTAATGGGTACAAATGCACAGTTAGAAGGAATAAATTGTAGTGTTCAATAGCATAGTAAATGACTATAGTTAACAACAATATACTATACACTTCAAAATAGCTAGAGGAGAAGATTTGAAATGTTCCCAACACAAAGAAATGAAAGGTTTCAGGTGATATATATTCTAAACACCCTGGCTCGATCATCACACATTGTATTCACGCATCAAAATATCACACATACCCCATAAATATACAAGTGTTATGTATCAAGAAAGCCACCAATCCAAATCCCATAATATTTCACAACCCAGTTCAAATCCTTTAGTGGCATCACTGCTATTAAGACTTTGCCTGACCTCATTGCCTCCCCCTCTTTGGGATTCTAAAAAGCTTAGGATCTGAACCACACCTCTTAGCACTGGTCATACAGGTCTGGCATAGAAATGTGGACAAAATTTCTCCAGCTTTGTTTTTTGCTTAGGATTGCTTTAGCTATTCTTTATAGGTTCCATATAAATTTTAAAATAATTTTTTCTAGTCCTGTGAAGAATATTGTTGGTAGTTTGATAGAAATAGCATTGAATCTGTACATTGCTTTGGGCAGTATAGCCATTTCAATGATATTGGTTCTTCCTATCCATGAGCATGGGATGTTTTTCCACTTGTTTGTGTCTTCTCTGATTTCTTTGAGCAGTGTTTTGTAATTCTCATTGTAGAGATCTTTCACCTCCCTGGTTAGCTGCATTCTTAGGTATTTTATTTTTTGTGTGGCAATTGTGAACGGGATTACCTTTCTGATTTGGCTTTCAGTTTGATTGCCGTTGGTGTATAGGAATGCTAGTAATTTTTGTACGTTGATTTTGTATCCTGCAACTTTGCTGAAGTTGTTTATCAGCTGAAGGAGCTTTTGGGCTGAGACTATGGGGCTTTGTAGATATAGAATCATGTTGTGTTCAGAGATAGTTTGACTTCCTCTCTTCCTATTTGGATACCCTTTATTTCTTTCTCTCGCCTGATTGCTCTGGCTAGGACTTCCAATACTATGTTGAATAGAAGTGGTGAGAGAGGCCATCTTTGTCTTGTGCCGGCTTTCAGGGGGAATGCTTCCAGCTTTTGTCTATTCAGTATAATGTTGGCTGTGGGTTTGTCATAGATGGCTCTTATTATTTTGAGGTATGATGTTCCTTCAATACCTAGTTTATCAAGAGTTTTTAACATGAACTGAGGTTAAATTTTATCAAAAGCCTTTTCTACATCTATTGAAAGAATCATGTGGTTTTGTCTTTAGTTTTGTTTATGTGATGAATCACATTTATTGATTTTTATATGTTGAACCAAACTTGTTTCCTGGAGATGAAGCCTACTTGATCATGGTGGATTAGCTTTTTGATGTGCTGCTGGATTTGGTTTCAAACTATACTACAAGGCTACAGTGACCAAAAGAGCATGGTACTGGTACAAAAACAGGCACATAGACCAATGGAACAGAATAGAGGCCAGGTGCAGTGGCTCATGCCTGTAATCCAGTGCTTTGGGAGGCCAAGGCGGATGGATCATGAGGTCAGGAGTTTGAGACTGAGTT